>NC_000022.11:18339129-18433513 GCF_000001405.40 Homo sapiens | reverse complement strand
AATCTTTCAAGATTGCTGAAGACTGTATGATGGAAGTCATCTGCATTGGGAAAGAAATTAATGGAGAGAGGAGAAAATTTGAGAATCCACAGTACTCACCCTGCAGGGCCAAGAACTCTGTCTCCCATGCTTTGCTGTCCTGTCTCAGTATTTCCTGTGACCACCTCCTTTTTCAACTGAAGACTTTGCACCTGAAGGGGTTCCCAGGTTTTTCACCTCGGCCCTTGTCAGGACTGATCCTCTCAACTACTGACCATTTCACCTCCATTCATGTCCATGCCACATCAGGCTGTGTTGTCTAGATGGAATGAATCCACCCCAAATGTCCCTTTCTGGAGGAAGCCACCATTATGCTGTACCTCCAAGCATAATGGTACGTCCACACACACCAAGGCACCTCGCTCATGCAAGGTGTGTGTCCTCTAACAAAGTTTCACGCTCTAAACCCAGATAACTTTTGAAACCCAAGTTCTGTTGATTCCCCTACTTTGGGTGCTCCATAGATGCTCATTTGTCTACTAAACACTGCCCCAGGCAATTAAATATTCCAAAGTGACCAGCAGAATTTTTATGTTAATTCTGACATTGCGTTGTTAGTACAAGTGTTTTTCCCCCTTCAAATTTATGTCTTTGTTACTGATAAATGTAACTGATAATGCGTTTTTCAGCTATGTTGCCAAGCATATTTATATAAAAATATACTCAGATTGTTTTCAGAATTTGACAAAGATGATAGCAACAATGATAATCTTATTTGTTTTATACCAATCTTTATGTGTTACTTTCATCATTTCTTACATATTGGGGCCTACCATACATTGTACGGTGAAATTAGTGCTATGCATCATGGTAGAAATATAAATTGGCAAAAGTAATTTAGAAAATAGTTCCCTTCTTTCTTAAAAAAATTAGGCTGGGTGTGGTGGCTCATGCCTATAATCCCAGCACTTTGGGAGGCAGAGATGGGTGGATCACCTGAGGCTAGGAGTTTGAGACTAGCCTGACCAACACAGCAAAATCCTGTCTCTCCTGAAAATACAAAAATTATCCAGGCATGGTGGCGTGTGCCAGTTGTCCCAGCTACTCGGGAGGTTGAGGCACGAGAATTGCTTAAACCTGGGAGGTGGAGGTTCCAGTGAGCCGAGATTGTGCCACTGCACTCCAGCCTGGGTCTCAGAAAAAAAAAAATTTTTTTGACCAAAATGTCATTATGCATTACATGACTGTATATGAATGCTCAAAGCTACATTACTCATCAAAGAAAATAACAAAACAATTAAATGTCCATTAACTGATAAATGAATAAACACTATCTGTATGAGTAAACACAGCAGACTATGAAGGAAAACACATGACCAGCACGTGCTAACACGTCAATTAACTTCAAACATAGTATGCTAAATGAAGGAAGTCAGATTCCAAATATATATATATGTCCATTTCTATTAAGCAAATGGGAAATTTATGGAGATGGAATGTCACAGCAGTATTGCTTAGGGCTGGAGATGGGAGTGGGGATTAACTGCCAGTGCGCAAGAGAGAACTTGGGTGAGGGAAACATATTTAAATTAGATCGTGGTGATGGGTGCACACAGTATCAATTTAATAAAGCATCAAATTGTAGACCTTTTCAGTGGGCAAACTTTATGGTGGGTTCACACCCAATATAGGTGTTAAAAATAAATTAATGTTACGGAAATTCTTGTCGGGTTTTTAACAAGCCAAGAGATATGCTGTGAAAGCAGCATTAATTCAAATGGTTGTCACAGGTCACTTAAAGTTAGATAGTTGTCCTACAAATATAGGGTGAATGTTATTCATGAATTTCCTGAATCTATTGCAATAATCACATTTTTTTCCATTAAACTCTTGAGGTAGCTAATTTTATTTATTGCATTTTCAATGTTAATCTACTATTTCATATATTGAGATTAACTCACATTAGTCAGAATTTACAGTATTTTAAAATATCACAGAATTTAATTTACCTTATCTGGTTTTGGTTTCAAGACTATACTAGCCATTTCATTTAATTGTACATGTAGGGTATTCTAATTTATGGAAAACTATTACATCTTCCTTGATTTTTTTTTTTTTTTAGAAATTACTTCTAGGGATCTATATGGTAGAGTCCATGGAGAATTGTTTTAATTCTTCATTCATGTCTTCAGTGGGTATAGGATTGGTCATATTGGTCATAGTTTTCTGCTCGGATTTCAATAAGAAACTTGTGGAAGAACCTGAAGGGTGGGATCTTTGAGGGAGCCTAAGACAGAGCAAGACAAGCTAAGAAGGAGGGCAGTGCCACAGCAGAACTGCCATTGATGCCCCCTCGCCTAGATTGCGGAAGAGACATCCAGCTGTAGACACTGAGGTGCAGGAAAACAATGGAGCACCATCAGAGAAAGCAGTGCCCAGGAACAAGGAGGCACTGATGGTGGCAAGGGGCAAAGACAGCTGCCACGAGGCTGTTCACATGAGGGTCTCAGGCTGCATAGACACCCACACCAGCTGAGGGGTCCTGGTTTTCATAAAGTGTGTGGCTCAGCCAGGCCACCAACAAGCAGTTCACAAACAGTAGTAATACGACACTTTCCAAAGACCTTACTTGAGTAACACGGTGATCCTCACAAATTTCCAATCAGGATGGTCGCACAGTTCCTCCTGCTTTAGGACTCAGAGCCTGCCCGTGGTCACAGTGGGTAGGTGCAGACTCTGAAGATGCACTTTGGTCAGAGACCCTGCTGAACTCTGTCTAATGAGGACCTCTGTCCTGTCTGCTGACCACCGGTCAGAGGTGCAGGCTGCAGTGGGGAGTAAGAATGCCACCTTCTCAATGTTGGGAAAACTCCCTGCCAGAACTGAGAATGGCCCTTTCTAAGCAGAAGGCAAGCTCAGACTAAAGAAGGAGGCCGAACACATCAGGTTGGCAGATTGCCAAAGATTCACTCAGGGAGAGCCCACATCCTGGGCCATCTTGGGTGGTGGCAAGATGAGGTAGACGACTGCTTTTGCAACACACACCTGACAACAAAAAATCAACAACTGTAAAAGAGCCACAAAATCCCCAAATATTTGCAAATTAGCAATGCACTTTTAAATAACTGTTGGGTTAAAGAAGAAGTCTCAATAGAAAATTAAAAGTACTTTTAACTACATTAAAAGAAAATGTGACTTGGCAAGATTTCTGGATGTAGCAAAAGCAGTCCTTAGAGGGAAATCTATAGCATTGGATGCAATATACTAAAAATCACAAGACCTAAAATCAGTAATATCATGTTTCAATTAGGGAACTATAGAAAATAGAGGAATGCAATGGAAAGCAAGTAAAAGTAATAAACAACATCACAGAAATCAATAAAATTAAAACACTGAAATCATCAGAAAATCAATAAAACCAAAAGCTGGTTCTTTGATATGCTCATTACAATGAATGAATTGATATGCAGGCTAACCAAGAAAAAGAAGATAACACAAATGACCAATTTCAGAAATAAAAGAGGAGCCATCTCTACTGAACTGTTAGGCATTAAAAGGAATATCATGAACAGTTCTATGAGCGCAGTTTGATAACCTCAGTGAAATGTATCAATTCCTTGAAAGGCAATCTTCCCAAGGTCATGCTAGGATCCTAATTTGAATAAACTTATGTCTATTAAATAAGTTGAATTCACATTAAGAGCATTCCGAAAAAGAAAGCACCAGGCCCAGATGGTTTCTCTCATGAAATCTACCGAATTCTTCAACAGGTGAATAAAAAGACAAAAATTCATTTAATGCAATATTATTTGGTGATTTAATGTGCCATTTTTTGCCATTAAGGCATAAAAAAGACATGAAAGCAGCTAAAGCGTACATCAATTTAGTGCAATAAATTCATCTGAAAAAACTACATAATATATGATTCCAACTATATGACATTCTGGAAAAGGCAAAGCTGAAGCGATAGTAAAAATATTAATAGTTGCCAAGGTTTCTGGAGAAAGAGGACAGAGATTAATGAGAAGAGAGGATTTTTAGGGAAGTGAACATTTTCTTTATGAGACCATAAGGGTGAACATAATGTTTTAAATATTTCAAAATTCATATATATGTATAACAGAAAGAATGAACATTATGCAAATGCAGACTTCAGATAATAATGTGTCAATATTTTCTCATTATTCTAGCAAATGTACCACAGTAATGTAAGATGTTACTAATAGGTGAAATTAGGAAGTGAGGGTGAGGAGACAGAATAATATGGGAACTTCGTGTATTATATACTCAATTTTTATTTATTTATTTATTTATTTATTTATTTATTTATTTATTTTGAGATGGAGTTTCACTCTTGTCACCCAGGCTGGAGTGCAATGGCATGATCTTGGCTCACTGCAACCTCTGCCTCCCGGGTTCAAGCGATTCTCCTGCCTCAGCCTCCTGAGTAGCTGGGATTACAGGCGCCTGCCACCACACCCGGCTAATTTTTTTGGATTTTTAGTAGAGATGGGGTTTCACCATGTTGGCCAGGCTGGTCTCCAACTCCTGACCTCAGATGATCCGCCTGCCTTGGCCTCCTAAAGTGCTGGGATTATAAGTGTGAGCCACCACACACGGCCATATGCTCAGTTTTTATGTCAATTTAAAACTCTCTAAAGAAATATATTAATTGAAAAATAATAATATAGCACCACTCTTTCAGGGAGATCTATGCTTATGTTTAACAACCAGGTAAGTTCTAGACATTAGCTTGAAACATTGTCTATCATTAAACATGAACCAAAATTGACTTTTAAGTAGATATTTACTTTTGTGGTGGTAGCAATATTTACTGACCAGGCAAATTAGAATCCTGACACATTAAAAAATATGGCTTAGTCTCTTCATAGTTTCCTCTTACATATGGGACACTGAATACTCCCCGCAACTGCAATTCTTGAATCAACTTAATTAATGAACTTCCACAGTACCTTCTTGTGGGTACCTCTTCTTCTTTACCCGGGAGCCATGAGGTCTCCTACACTGGTTGGTGTGCACAGCATATCTTCTTATATTCTCTATCAGAGAAGATGCTGGTTAATGCATTTACAATAGATAGGGCTGTTGACATCTTGCTGACAGAGGACCAGAGGGAAAATAGTGATAATCTGTTCTAAGTTTAAACTTATGATCCTTTTCTTTACAGGCTTCCAAGCAGAGCCCACTGAATCAAAGTTGGGTTTCAGGAAGATCACGGAGTTCAGTGAGCACTCAACACCTCTATCAGACAGACTGCGTGGGCAGTGCCTTCCTGGAGAGGAGAATACAGCAGGATGACTGTGAGTGCAGGGCTGGTGCAGAGTAGGGGCCCGGATTCAAATTCCACTAAGCCATGTGGACCTGGCAAGCTCATGTCCTCCCTCTGCCCTCAGTTCTCTGCACTGTCATAATGTAATTTTAGCAATACTTTTTAGGCCCTATTTAGGCCCTACTTCTTAGTATCACAGTACAGGGCTAAAAAATCACTAAATACAGGAAAACCTTAGAGAGGACTGGTACTTCAGTAATGTTCTCTAAGTGTTTACTACAGGCCAGGAGGAATAAGCTGGACACTCAGCAGTGGCGGAATATGGAGGGGGAACTTGGATGGCTCCGGGGCAGTGGAGCATGCTTTCCTGTTCGGCTTTTCCGTGGGCATGATGCCTTATGGTTTATGGAGAACATCAGCCCTGCAGGGGGTGCAGAGGAGGGGCTGTGACTGAGATTTTACACTTGAGGGTGCTGACATTCAGAGATGATAAGTGACGAGCAGAACCTCAACCCCGCTGAGTGAAGGACCTGAGATGGGAAATGTATTTGGTTCCCTAGAGAGAGAGATTCCTGAAAAACTGCCACCTCTTCATCACGCCCTGTGCCAGAGACCCAAGAGACCCCTCACTGTTTTTCTCCAGTCCTCCTAGCCCAAGGTGTGTGGGTGGACAAAGGTGATGCTCTGGAGGAAATGCCTGAGATAAGGACAGGTCCTTAATGATAAAGAATTCTCCTTCCTCTTTCAGATCCTTGACCTCCCAGTATGACAGCTTAAAGGCTGTCATCTCTGTGGCCTGCCTCCCCTTTCCCTTCACCCTGCCAGCTGCCTCTCAGTGACTGTCTCCTCCAGTGACTACACTGAGGGACCAGGGACTGCTTGCCTCCCGAGGCTGCTCAGACCTTCCGACACTGCAAAATGATTGTCAAAAGATGGGTCTGCAAAGAGTAACTTCCCTTCCACTGATCAAACCTGAATATGCAAGCTACTGTGAATTAACTGGAAAAGTGGCCGTGTGGGCTGGTGCTTTGGTGATTTAATGAATTAAGTCTGCAACCCCCACTGCCTCCTTGACTATTGATCAGAGCTGCCTGCAATAAGGTCTGGCTAAGAATGGGCAGTGGCTGCACCAGCTCTGGGTAAAATTTGACCTAAAATGACCAGTCTCATTCACTAACCTCACCATAGTCTTATGGGTTCAATGGACCTGTCCAATCCTTTGCTCTGTTCTCTCCATCACCTTCCTGTGTAATTTTCCTCCACCACGCACATAAGAGAAACATGGCACAGGGGAGCTAATCGCCTCTTTTATCCCCCACTTCAGGCTCACACGTAAGTTTATAGTAAAAGCCTTTTCAAATGACTGCTTTAACTGCTGCTACAGCATGTGTCATCAGTTGAATGGAATCTGTCACGTGACTTTAAGCAACCCTTTGCTGAGAGACAAGATTCAATACTAGGGACAGTATTCTAGTGTACTACATCATTGATTTTATGTTATGAAGATCATCATTTATTGAAAATGTATAAATAATGAAGCCCAGCCTTACTCTTCAACGCTGTGTGTGTAAATCCACTGAGTGTGCTGACCCCCACGCTTGTACCCACCTGCTAACACAGAAAGGGTCCACTCAGAAGGCAGGCACAGCTCCAGCACTGAGGCTGTCCACACCAGCTTCACAAGAGGGTTGCCACAAGGACGACGGATACCCGGATAACAACCAAATGGTAATTTGAGTACTTAATGGTCATGATCCCTAAAGTGTGTAGCTCAGAGGGCTTGTGGTGATAACTCCATCAAGACTCTAAAGCATCTCCCCAATTCTTACTGGACTTGATCCATGTCTTGAGGAGACCCAGCTATGACACGCAGGCACCACATTGTCCTACTTAGTGCCTCCCTTAGTGTTTCAGAACCTGTGATTTGATCAGAAACATGGGCTTTCTATGTTGGTTTCACACTAAGGACTATGTGACACCTGCAGGAAGATGTCTACATAGCTACCTGGATTATGAGATCATGAGGCTGTCTTATGTGAGGGATGGCGTTTGGGATCTCTGCAGGCGTGGGTAATTCCAGGCATAGAGGGTGCTGGAACTCCCTTGCATGGTGAATAGTGATCTCTTCACTGGCTGATAAATAGTGGTTGTAGTTCAGGCCTTCAACATTAGCACCGTATGAGGAAACATTTTGACTCTTCACTATGCAGCAAGTGAACCAGGGCACATTTATTTATGTGGCTTAGTTTCTCCATCTGGCATGTGGGCTCAATAAACAAGCTCACAACATATGGGCATGATGATGATGAGGTGTGAACTAATGTAAGTAAAGTATGTGGTCTGATTTGTTAAATTAAGAAACATGGCACTGAGAGTTGTGCTGGGTAAACACAACATTTTTTTCCTAGGGGAAACACACATAGACACACATTCACAAGCAAATCATGCAGACTTGCACACAGACCACCTCACCCCACCCCCGCCCTAATACACACATACCCACACACAACCTAATGTGAACATGTTCCCAGAAACTATACATAGATAAAAAGAGTATGTCACCAGGAAAACCAGTTTCTTTTACTATACCCTACATCCTCATTCCCACCAGATGTCTTGGATCATGGAGGCTCTCCAGACAAAAGCCAGCAGTTAAGCTCCAGATTTCCTGTAGAATCCTTTTCTAACAACCAGTGAGTGATTCCAGAATACGTACCATTGAATGTGCTCCCTGAAGTCACCTGTAATTAGAGAAGGAAAACACTCTGAGAATCAGGCTATGCTATGGATGGCTCACACAGGTCTTTTGTTCACTTGGAAACTCTGGGTAACCAAGACTGGAAATAAGGTTCAAGTCAAAAGCCCCAACTCTAGAGTAGAGTTGCCTTAGGAAAGCACAGGAGCTTTTGTTGAAGAATGTTTCTGTCTAGGTAATTTTTGAGTAGCAATTGCAGAATTCTTATCTAAAGTGGAAAGCTTGTTCCTGAAGAAAACATCCCTTAACACCCAGTGTACTATCTGACACTGCCAATTTTGCACGTCCTCTGGAATCAGGTGTCAGTTGGTAAAATACACCTCCTCCATCCCCAAGGAAATATTATCTAACACCTATAATGTAGTGGAGAATTTTCCCATAGCTGATATCAACTGAAAAATAAAGGATCCAAGAAAACAACATTTACATCTTAGGCAAAGACAGGCTACTTTACCTTGGTGGTAGAGTAGGGCTTCCTTTTCACACGCTTTTTGGAAGGCTTCTTCGAGTCACCTAGGGGATGTGGAGGGACACAGCATGGCTGTCAGTTCATTGGCAGTGCTACTCATGAATGACTCAGGGACTGGAACTTAGGGGCGTGCCTGGTTAACAAGCATGGAATGAGCTTCTCCTGGACCATCTTCTTCACGGACCAAGGAAGGCAAAGAAAGAGCAGCAAGGAAATGAGAGTAGAGCCCTTGGCTTTCCAGGTAATGGCAAATGAAAGCAACGTGAAATAATCAACTCCAAATGAACAAATGCTAAAACACATGCTACGATTCAACCACAGCATCCTGTCACTTCTTCAGACCCTTTAAAAGCCCAGCAGGACTGCCACTACCTTCTTGACATCGACCAAGTCCCTTTCAACCTCCACAGACCCACATACACTGCTACTGCATTTATCATGGAGGGTATAGGGTTCTGCCCTGTTTATGTGTGAATTTTTTAAAAACTAGATTTAATACCATGCACCAGCATTAATTGTATTTATTTCTTTTCTTGGTTATGAAAATAATCAGTCAGGCATAGTGGCTCACACCTGTAATCCCAGCAGTTTGGAAGGTGGAGGTGGGTGGATCATTTGAGGTCAGGAGTTCGAGACCAGCCTGACCAACATGGTAAAACCCCATCATTGAAGATAAATGTTTTATATCCATGGTTAACAGATGAGATGACCATGAAATGAACACCAGTGTACTGGGTGGAGCAGCTTATCTATTCAGTCTTCGGCACTAAAACCTGTGAAACAATATCATCTTGCCTTATTTACTAACAAATACAAGTGCCTCTAAACTTAGACAGTTTCCAAGTCATGGAACTGATGAGCACTTAGCTCCTGCAGAGAGCTCTGGATGATGGGTCGGGAGAACAAAGACACAATACATCAAAACAGCATTCACAAGTAAACAGGTTTTCAAAGCCCTCTACATGCAAATTTACACAATTATCCTTTTAATTTTTATCTTCATATATATGTACATAATCTACTTGCTTCTGAGTATAAATCAAACTGTATGTTCTTAGTTAATAGTCTCTATAAATTCACTCTATTTATCTTTCTGAGTTGAAATACTGCATCTCATTGGATAACAAAAAAAAAAATTTGACTAAGATTACACTGGAAAGGTGAGTAGGTTGGGTGATTGACTGTGATTGACAATTCCATGATTCTGGATAACTTCCAAAGCATAAAAATAAATGTGTGTTTTCTTTCACACGTAGACAATACACATGCTTATTACTTTAAAAAATTAATATGTGCATGGAAGTGACTTACTACAAATATATTAAAGTAAATACACATTTCACAAAAAAAGAAGAGAGGAAGGGAAAAACATGTTAAAAACAAAGAGAGTTACATTTTATTGTGTGAAAAGCCTCCAACGGATCCTTACTACTGTGGCTTTGTTCCAAAGTTTTGGAAAGTAATGATTTCATAGGTTCTTAATTGGGTTAAAAACAGCATTAAAATAGACTTCGCCATATTCTCCCCAGGGGAATAACTTAATCTGTGGGGTGGGGGATGGAACGTTGAAGGATGCAGGTTGAAGGATGCAGGATGTAAAAGGAAATTATATATATATTATGACATATATTATATTATATATATTATGACATATATTATATTATGACATATATTATATATGACATATATATAATATATGATAATTATATTATGTATATAATATATATTATTTATATATATTATATATATTATATATATGATATATAATTATTTATTATATATTATATATTATATAATATATAATATATAATTATATATCATATATATTATATATATAATATATATTATTTATTATATATTATATAATATATAATATATATAATATATAATTATATATTATATATTATATATTATATATTATATATAATATATAAATAATATATATTATATACATAATATATAATATATAATATATATAATATATATAATATATAATATTATACATATTATATATAATATATATTATATATACTATATATATTATATATAATATATATTATATATACTATATATATTATATATAATATATATTATATATACTATATATATTATATATAGTATATATATTTTATATATAATATAAAATATATATAATATATTACATATAATGTATATATTATATATAATATATATGTTATATATATTATATATTATATAAAATATATATAATATATTATATATTATATATATTATATATATATATATATAAAATTTGGGAATTTGGGAATAAACGGACTCCCAATTCACACTGGGACTACACCAGCTGCCACCATGCCTGGCTAATTGATTGTATTTGTAGTAGAGACAGGGTTTCACTGTATTCGCCAGGATGGTCTTGATCTCCTCACCTTGTGATCCTCTTGCCTTGGCCTCCCAAAGTGCTGGGATTACAGGCCTGAGTCAAGATACATATTTTTTAAATGAAGAAAAATTTCAAAGATACTCTGCTTGGTACAGTAATCAAATATATAAATTGAGGAATAAAACATAATCATGAAACATATTTATAACTGCATATGGAAAATACAGAGGCTAATTTTTTAAATAACATATTTTGAAAGCATTAACTAGTAATTTGAAAAGATCGCATTTGACAGGCCAGTATGAACATACCTTGAATGCAGCCACACAGGTTCCCCATAAGAAAAATCAAAATCAGGGAAAATGAAACCACAATGGTTCAATCTGCTCTGACCTTTGAAAAACTCAGCACAGATAGTGGCACGTAGGACCAAGGGCAGGAGATCCCTAATCCCATCACCATGGTGATAGGGCATAAACATTCCAGGGTGAAGGCACAATCCACACTGTGAGGTCCAACTGCTGCCATGCAGACAGGTGGGCTTTTACAACTACAGGAAGGTCATCAAAGGCTCAGTGTTTTGTTTCAAAAACTGAATCCCAAGCCCACACATTATTATGCTGGCTTCTTAAAATAAGTTATGAGATGGGAAATAGGGCACCCAAAAATATATATATATATAATTATATATAATATAATATATAGTATATATATAATATATTTAATATATTTTATATATATATATATATAAAATTTGGGAATTTGGGAATAAACTGAATCCCAATTCACACTGGGACTACACCAGCTGCCACCATGCCTGGCTAATTTTTTCTATTTGTAGTAGAGACAGGGTTTCACTGTATTGGCCAGGATGGTCTTGATCTCCTCACCTTGTGATCCTCTTGCCTTGGGCTCCCAAAGTGCTGGGATTACAGGCCTGAGTCAAGACACATATTTTTTAAATGAAGAAAAATTTCAAAGATACTCTGCTTGGTACAATAATCAAATATATAAATTGAGGAATAAAACATAATCATGAAACATATTTATAACTGCATATGGAAAATACAGAGGCTAATTTTTTAAATAATATATTTTGAAAGTATTAACTAGTAATTTGAAAAGATCGCATTTGACAGGCCAGTAAGAACATACCTTGAATGCAGCCACACAGGTTCCCCATAAGAAAAATCAAAATCAGGGAAAATGAAACCACAATGGTTCAATCTGCTCTGACGTTTGAAAAACTCAGCACAGATAGTGGCACTTAGGACCAAGGGCAGGAGATCCCTAATCCCATCACCATGGCGATAGGGCATAAACATTCCAGGGTGAAGGCACAATCCACACTGTGAGGTCCAACTGCTGCCATGCAGACAGGTGAGGGCTTTTACAACTACAGGAAGGTCATCAAAGGCTCAGTGTTTTGTTTCAAAAACTGAATCCCAAGCCCACACATTATTATGCTGGCTTCTTAAAATAAGTTATGAGATGGGAAATAGGGCACCCAAAAAAATATATATATATAATTATATATGACATAATATATATAATATATATAACATATATATAATTTCCTTTTACATCCTGCATCCTTATATTATATATAATATTATGTATAATATAATAGGTATTATTATATATAATATAATATATATGAATATATATAGCAATATAATATAATATATGTAATTATATATAATGATATATAATATATAATTATCTATATTATATATAATATAATATATAATATAATATATAATATAATATAATATATAATATAATATAATATATAATATAATATATAACATAATATATAATATAATATATAAAATAATAATTAATATTTAAATTAATTATTATTAATTAATATTAACTAATATTAAAAATAATATAAAATACAATTAATATATCTAATATAACCTATAATTATTATATATAATATAATATACAATTATACATAATATATATAATAAAATATATATAATTATGTGTATTTATTACATATAATATAATACATAAATTATATATAATTATTACATATAATATAATATATACTTATATATAATTATTACATATAATATAATATATAATTATATATAATTATTACCTATAATATAATATATATAATTATATAATTATATATAATTATATATACAAGATAATAATACATAATATATATAATATATTATACAATATAATATATTGTATAATATATTATATAAGATATTATATATAATATGTTGTATAAAATATTATATATATTATATATAATATAATATTATGTATAATATAATATATAATATATATTATATTATAACATATTATACAATAATATATTATAATATAATGTATATTATAATCTAATATATTATATATTATAATCTAATATTATATATTATAATCTAATATAATATTATATATTATAATCTAATATAATATTATATTATATATAACATTATATAGTATTATATATTTTATAATAATATAATATATAATATATTATGATATATTATATATAATATTATATAATATATTATGACATATTATATATAATATATAAAATGATATATTATATATATTACATAATATATTATGATATATATTATATATTATATAATATATTATGATATATATTATATATTATATAATATATTATGATATATATAATATAATATAATATAATTATATGTAATATAACATTATATATCATATATTATATATTATATATCATATATTATATATCATATATTATATATTATATACCATATATTATATATTATATATCATATATTACATATAATATATGTCACATATTGTATGTAATATATGTCACATATTATATGTAATATATATCATATATTATATGTAATATATATCATATATTATATGTAATATATATCATATATTATATGTAATATATATCATATATTATATGTAATATATATCATATATTATATATGTCTTTTATTATGTAATATGTATCATAGATATTACATAACGTGACATATAATATATATTATTTATATATAATGTATATTATATTTTATATATATTATATATATTATATATTATATGTTTTATGTAATATATAGTACATATAATATACATTATATATATATAATTTTTTTTAGACAGATTCTTGTTCTGTTGCACAGGCTGGAATGCAATGGTGCCATCTTGGCTCACTGCAACCTCTGCCTCACGGGTGGAAGCGATTGTCCTGCTTCAGCCTCCCAGGTAGCTGGGGCTACACCACACTGGGACTACACCAGCTGCCACCATGCCTGGCTAATTTTTTGTATTTTTAGTAGAGATAGGGTTTCGCCACATTGGCCAGGATGGTCTTCATCTCCTCACCTTGTGATCCTCTTGCCTTGGCCTCCCAAAGTGCTGGGATTACAGGCTTGAGCCAAGATACATATTTTTTAAATGAAGAAAAATTTCAAAGGTACTCTGCTTGGTACAATAATCAAATATATAAATTGAGGAATAAAACCTAACCATGAAACATATTTATAACTGCATATGGAAAATACAGAGGCTAATTTTTTAAATAACATATTTTGAAAGCATTAACTAGTAATTTGAAAAGATCGCATTTGACAGGCCAGTATGAACATACCTTGAATGCAGCCACACAGGTTCCCCATAAGAAAAATCAAAATCAGGGAAAATGAAACCACAAAGGTTCAATCTGCTCTGACCTTTGAAAAACTCAGCACAGATAGTGGCACTTAGGACCAAGGGCAGCAGATCCCTAATCCCATCACCATGGCGATAGGGCATAAACATTCCAGGGTGAAGGCACAATCCACACTGTGAGGTCCAACTGCTGCCATGCAGACAGGTGTGCTTTCACATGTACAGGAAGGTCATCGAAGGCTCAGTGTTTCATTTCAAAAACTGAATCCCAAGTCCACACATTATTATGCTGTGCTTCTTAAAATAAGTTATGAGATAGGAAATAGGGCACCCCCAAATATATATATATATTATGTATAATATAATATATATAATATATAACATATATATAATTTCCTTTTACATCCTGCATCCTTATATATAATATCATATTTAATATAATATATAATATTATGTATAATATATATTGTTATACATAACATTATATATAATATAATATATATAATTATGTATAATTATATAATTATATATGAAATATAATAATGTATAATTATATATGTAATATAATAAAGTATAATAGATAATATATATTATATATTATACAAAATATTATATAATGTAACATGTAATATATAGTATATCATAATATAATATATTTTATAATATAATATATTATATATTATATATGATTACATTATATTATATTATATTATATATTATATAATATATGATATATTATGGTATATTATATATTATTATATATAATACAATTATATATAATATACCATAATATATATGATATATGATAAATAATATATTATATATATCATAAATTATATATAATACATAATATATATCATAAATTATATATAATATATAATATCATATAATATAATTATATATAATATAATATATAATATATAATATAATATAATTATATATAATATAATATATATAATATAATATAATATAATATAATTATATATCATATAATATAAAATATATAATATATAATATAATATAATATAATTATATATAATATATCAGATATAATATATAATATATATCAGATAAAATATATAATATATAATATATATCAGATATAATATATAATATATATCATATATTTTACATAATATATATCATTTATTATGTAATATATATCTTTTATTATATATAATATATATCATTTATTATATAATATATGATATATCATATATGATATATATCATCTATATCATATATTATTTATCATCTATATCAGGTATGATATATCATCTATGTCATATATACGATATATCATCTATATCATATATGCGATATATCGTATATATCATATATGATATACCATGTATATCATATATATGATATATCATGTATATCATATGTAGTATATAATCTATATCATATATATTGTATATAATCTATATCATATATATTGTATATAATCTATATCATATATATTGTATATAATCTATATCATATATATTGTATATAATCTATCATATATGTTGTATATAATCTGTATCATATATATTGTATATAATCTGTATCATATATATTGTATTTAATCTGTATCATATATATTGTATATAATCTCTATCATATATATTGTATATAATCTATATCATATAGTATATAATATATATCATATATTGTATATAATATATATCATACATATTGTATATAATATATATCATACTTATTGTATGTAATATATATCATACATATTGTGTATAATATATATCATACATATTATGTATGATATATATCGTATATATTATATATGATATATATCATATGTAATATATACGATATATATCATATATATTATATATGATATATATCATATTAAGTTAAGTTTGGGGATAGCCCAGAATTATATATGGATTTTCAACTGCACAGGAGCTGGTCCCCTAACCCTTGCACTGTTCAAGGATCAACAGTATGTATAATACTACAGATTTTATTCATATTTTAGAGTGTAGTACTACTACTCATTAAAAAAAATTAACTATGAAACAGCTTCAGGAAGGTCTTCCACGAGTTCTTCCAGAAGAAAGCCTTGTTATCATAGAGAATGACAGCTGCATGTATGTTATTGCCACTGAAGACCCTGAAGACCTTTCACTTGGACAAGATTTCGAGATGGAAGACAGTGATATTGATTATCCTGACCCTTACAGGACTAAGCTAGTGTGTGTGTTTGTATCTTAGTTTTTAACAAAAATGTTTAAAACATAAAAAATCAAAATAAATGAAGCTTATCAAATAAGGATATAAAGTATTTCTGTACAGCTGTTCAATGTGTTTTTGTTTTAAGATGTGTTATTATCAAAGAATCAAAAAATTAAAAAAATTAAAAGTTTATAAAGTTATGATAAGCTAAGATGAACTTGTTAAAGAAAGAAAAAATTTAAATACATTTAGTGTAGCCTAAGTGTACAGTGCATATAAAGTCTATAGTTATGTACAGTAATATCCTAGGCCTTCGCATTCACTCACCAGGTACTCACTGACTCATCAGAGCATCTGCCAGTCCTGCAACCTCTGTTCATGCTAAATGTCCTTTACTGGTGTACCACTCTCTTTAAATTTTGTAATATATATATATTTTTTTCTTTGTTTTTTTTGAGAAGGAGTTTTATTTTGTTGCCCAGGCTGGAGTTCAATGATACGATCTTGGCTCACTGCAACCTCTGCCTCCGGGGTTCAAGTGATTCTCCTGCCTCAGCCTCACGAGTAGCAGGGATTACAGCCCCACGCCAGCACGCCCAGCTAATTTTGTATTTTTAGTACAGACGGAGTTTCTCCATGTTGGTCAGGCTGGTCTCGAACTTCTAACCTCAGGTGATCCGCCCCCCTCGGTCTCCCAATGTACTGTGTTTTTACTGTATCTTTTCCATGTTTAGATATTACTACTGTGATATAACTGCCTACAGCAGTGGGCCCCAAAGTTTTGACACCAGGGACTGGTTTTGTGAAAGATAATTTTTCCACGGAGTGGGGATGGCTTTGGGCTGAAACTCTTCCACCTCAGATCATCAGGCATTAGTTAGATTCTTTTTTTCTTTTTTTTTCTTTTTTAGACTGAGTCTCCCACTGTTGCCAGGCTGGAGTGCAGTGGCACAATCTCGGCTCACTGCAACCTCTGCCTCCCGGGTTCAAGTGATTCTCCTGTCTCAGTCCCCCGAGTAGCTGGGACTACAGGCATGCGCCACCACACCCAGCTAATTTTTGTATTTTTAGTAGAGACGGGGTTTCCATGTTGGCCAGGATTGTCTTGACCTTGTGATCCACCTGCCTCGACCTCCCAGAGTGTTGGGATTACAGGCGTGAGCCACAGCACCCAGCCTAGTTAGATTCTCATAAGGAGAACATAACCTAGATCCCTTCTATGGGCAGTTCACAATAGGGTTTGTGCTCCTGTGAAGGTCTAATGCTGCTGCTGATCTGACAGGAGGCGGAGCTCAGGCAGTAATGTTCGGCTGGCCAGCCACTCATCTCCTGCTTTGTGCCCAGTTCCTAACAGGACACGAACCGGTGCTGGTCCATGGCTTGGGTGTTGGGGACCATTGGCCTACTGTATTCAGCACAGTGACATGCTGCACAGGTGTGTAGCCCAGGAGCAATAGGCTGTACGATATAGCCTAGGTATGTAGTAGGCTACGCTGTCTAGGTTTGTATAAAGTACACTCTTTGGTGTCTGCACAGCCACAGAATCACCTAATGATGCATTTCTTGGAATATATTACCATTAAATGAGATTTACCTGTATTAGTGTCATCTCAGGTTTATTGTCTAGTAATTTTAAAAGTATTTGTATATTCTTTCCCAGACACATCATCATACTCTGGTGCATATCTCTATTTTATTCCCTAGACCCACTCTTAATTTTTCTGCATTCTGCTTTGTTCCTTAGGAGGCTCACCTGAATTGGATACTTCAGAGATCTCCCTTACCCTCATGCTTTTATTGGGGTTCAGCTAATGGAGGGGGTGGCAGAAGATAGGTGAGAGAAGAGTGTGTTTATCCCCCACCTCTGCCCCTGCAGGGTCAGCACAGGCAGACTGTGTCCCTTTGCTGAAGATCACAGCTTCTGTCTGGTGCCTTCTTGGCAAGCTGGCACTGTCTCTAGTCAGGTGACTGCTTGGCCCCTTACTACTTACACTCTTCTGTCTGGTTTCTTTGTGACTTTCCTGCTGTGCTGTAAGTAGTCCCTTTATTAGAATCCATCCACATTACCCAGTTATATAAAGACAAATAGTTGGTCACTGATGTAGTTCACTCCCTGAGAATCAGCCTTCATCAAAGATCCCTAACAGTCACATATTCTGTTGGCCGCTCCATTCCTGCTCCCCATTATTCTAGTTGTGTCTTCCTTGTCTCTAGTGCAGTCACAAAGCATAAGCGCCTCCACTGTCACTTGTTCTTTGCAACTCTAGGATCACATCATTCCCCTTGAAATCAGAGAATCTGCAATCTCCCCAAGCCCACAAAATTCAGCCATCACAGTACTTTTCAAGCATGCCAGCAGCCCTCCCCAACAAACGAATCCTTAATTTCTTAGAGAAACATCTTCTGGGCTTCCTGTGGGACACAGTGCGGGTCGGCTTGGCATGTGGATCACACCTGATATTTTTACCCCCACCTCCTACTATTCCTATTCCTTTGTATGCACCTCTCTTTATTATGCTAGGAAAGCTCTGGCAACACAACCTCAAAATAAGCAGGCCAGTGTGGATTCACAGTTTCTGTCAGACAAACAAACTTGAGCACCCCTTCTAACTTCTTGGGCTAAGACTTTAACTTCAGAATCTCTATGTATCTATGTTGATAAACTTAGCCTATGTCAAGATTATATTCTGCATGCCTTAGTCAAACACCATGTAAATCTATACCTCATATATTCTCTAGGCTTTAGCTGATAGGGATTAGCAAAGTAGTGTGGTTGTTTTGGTCTTTAAACAATGTCCATTTTCTACCAGCTTTCCATTGCACTCTTTTTTTTTTTTTTTTTTTTTTTGAGATGGAGTCTTGCTCTGTCGCCCAGGCTGGAGTGCAGTGGCGCGATCTCGGCTCACTGCAAGCTCTGCCTCCCGGGTTCACGCCATTCTCCTGCCTCAGCCTCCCGAGTAGCTGGGACTACAGGCGTGTGCCGCCACACATGGCTAATTTTTTGTATTTTTAGTAGAGATGGGGTCTCACTGTGTTAGCCAAGATGGTCTCGATCTCCTGACCTCGTGATCGGCCCACCTTGGCCTCCCAAAGTATTGGGATTACAGGCGTGAGCCACCACACCGGGCCGAATCCATTGCACTCTTACAGACCATGTTGACAAAATTATAACTGCAACAGTCAACTACAATAGCAATTTTACCTCTCATGTACCACTTTAAAAAACACATCATTCCCAATAACCACATTTGATGATTTAAGTAATCATGATACCACCGTACACTACAGATGATCAGGTTTCTGTCTCCTCCCGACAACAAGGTCAGGAATTCATTCAGACTGAAACAGGTCAGCAAACCACTTCCAGATTCTCATCTATAAAGATCTATTTCTAGAACCATTTCTAGTACCTATACAATATTAGAATCAAGTCAGGAAGCAGAAAACATTCTAGATATTTTAAACAGAAAACAATTCATGGAGAGATCAATTACAAGAGTATGTGTAGCAAAAGATGAAAGGGTCAGGTTGTTTAAGTAACTTGATAAATCTCTGCTTCTTTTGTGTTGGGTGATAAAAATGTTGACCAGAGATCAGTGGCAGATGATCCAAGGCGTCAGCTGTCCAAGCTCAGCATCTGGAGCCGGTGCTGAGGAAATGTGCATTTCTAGGTCTGGGCGCCATTGGACCATCACTACTGTCCTTGAAGCTGCCACCGTGAGAACTCACATCTCAGCTGCTATAGCCACAGCTGATATTGTCATTGCTTCCAGAATTATTTCCCTTGCTCCATCGTGGGGATCCCGCAATACTGCTGCTGCTGAAATCACTGTTGTTGCTCCTTCCAGAACTGTCGGCACCGCAGCATTATTATCACTGCAGCTACCACTGGAGATGGCTACAGACACCAGAAACGGAAGAGCACCTCTCCCCTCCTCCGGCAGTGTGACTTTCAGTCGGCTCCTCTCGTAGCCAGATGGTATAGAAATGACACACCAATGTCCTTCAGAACATACATGCAAAATAGTTTAAATATACTAGAAATTCTATTCCCCTTAGAAAACTAAGTCCACCTACATATTTTTCAAAAATCCATCAGCAATACAGAATAAAGGCATTGGTTCTATACAGCGTTGCAAGAATATTTTAACAATAGAAGGTATTTTAATGTCATTCACCACATTAGGAGATTGAAAAAGGGAAAACACAGGATTACCTTAGCAGATGTAGGAAAAAAAATAAGATGGTAAAATACAACATTCATTTATATTAAAATCTTTATACCAAACTAGGAAAAGCAGACAAATTTCTTAACCTGATAAGCTTATCTATAACAAAACCATCGACACCACCATATGTAATGTTGAAGCATAATCGTTATTTTTTATAAAAGCTAGGAAA
The DNA here is from genome assembly GCF_000001405.40 of Homo sapiens. Lineage (NCBI taxonomy): Eukaryota > Metazoa > Chordata > Mammalia > Primates > Hominidae > Homo > Homo sapiens. The sequence goes on along the minus strand of NC_000022.11, from coordinate 18,412,434 downwards.
GGGAATGAGATGTCTGTTGACACTGCTCGTATTTATCATTGTCCTGGGGTTTCTGGCCAGTTCAGTTAAGATAGGACAAAGAAATATTATAGAAAGAGGAAGAAAAAAAGAAAACACATACGTTGTCATTGTGTGGAGTTTCTGTTTGTTTGTTTATGTGTTTTTGTGAGATGGTGTCTCACTCTGTCGCCCAGGCTGGAGTACAGTGGTGTGATCTTGGCTCACTGCAACCTCATTGTGTGGAGATTTGTAATTACCCATAGAAAATCCAAGAAAATTTGTGGATGCACTAATCAAATCAGCAAGGTTTTCAGATATGAAGGCAAAGTAAAGAGAAAATGAAATTCTTATAAACAGTAGCAACCAATTAAAAATATTATATTATAATATCACATTCATGGTAACATAAAACATTAACGTATCTAAGAATTAATTCAGAAAACACATGATCTTTCATTTAATTTTATTAAAGTTATTTCAATAAATATACCACCAGTATTTTTTTAGAACTTGATTGGAAAAGTCATATTAAAATAATCAATGGAAAGGAAGAACCAAAGTTATTCTGAACAATAATAGCCTATCAATATTTAAATGTGTTTTAATTATAATAATTAAAATGGTTTGCTTTGGCTCAGTGATACACCGTTAAACAATGGGAAAAAATGGAAGCACCAAGAAATAGATCCATAGATATGCTGAATACATTGGACTTGTAATAAAAGATATGATACTAAAAGTCAGTAGAAAAATTATACTATTCAATAAATGATGTCAGAAAAAACATATAAATTTTTATCCATATATAAATAAAAATCTGTATATTACAGCATATCACAAAATCCTGTATCTATTTAGGTTAAAGACTCAAATCTTAAACTACTTGTGAAATTACTTATGAATATTACATGTTTAAGATATTTAAAAGTATATACAGAGAACTAATGACGTTGGGCAACAAATGGCTTATTAATCAAATGCCAGAATGCATGAAGAAGAAAAGAAAAGAAAAATAAATTAGACTGTATTAAAATGAAAAATCCTAGGCATCCTAAATAAAGGTTAAATGCAAGCCAGAAAATTGGGTAAAATATTTACAAAATATATAATTGAAAAGTATAATATCCATTATATAAAGAGGATTTCTACAAATTCATGATATAAAATAAATAATATAGTAGAAAAAATGATTAAGAACTACTACACAATATTCACAACAGATGATAAATAGTGAATTATTGTGAAAAGACAATTGAAAAGAGCAAGGTACAATTCAACAGCAATAAGACTTTATGCCCTTTTCTATAAAAACACAAAACTATGCCAAGGGCTTTAGGAACCGTGAATTTATACACGGCGAAGGGGAGTTTAAATCTGCCACTTTGAAGAGTTTTTTGGAAATATATAGTAAAGTTGAAAATATATACATATGTGTATATATATATACCCACACACATACACATACACACTAGAAATTCCACAGGGTAAACCTTCTCCAAGAGAATACACACACATTTGCAGAAGAGATGTCCAAAGGTGTTTGTTGAAACATTATTGGTAATAGCTAAAAATTGGAAATAATCTTAAAGCTCATTACTAGGAAAATGGAAAAGTGAATCGTGGTATGTGCATATAATGTAAAACTATACATCAGTTAAAATTAATTGTCTGAATTTATATGGATCAATTTTTATATATTGAAACATCGTTGCATTCCAGGAATAAATCCCACTTGGTCATGGTGTATAATCCTTTTAATATGATGCTGAATTCAGTATGATAGTTTTTTTTTAGACAAAGTTTTGCTCTTGTTGCCTAGGCTGAAGTACAATGGCATGATCTCGGCTCACCACAACCTCCACCTCCCGGGTTGAAGCGATTCTCTTGTCTCAGCCTCCCGAGTAGCTGAGGTTACAGGCATGCACCACCACACATGGCTAATTTTGTATTTTTAGTAGAGACAAGAGTTTCTCTATGTTGGTCAGGCTGGTCTTGAACTCCTGACCTCAGGTGATCCACCCACCTCAGCCTCCCAAAGTGCTGGGATTACAGGCATGAGCCACCGTGCCCCACCCAGTATACTAGCATTTTTAGAGTTTTTGCATCAATGATCAGAGGCATATTGATCTGTTGTTTTATTTTCTTACAGTGTTTTTGGCTTTGGTATCAGGGTAATGCTGGCCTCATAGAAAGAGTTAAGAGGTATTCACTCCTCTTCCACTCTTTGGAAATGCTTGAAAAGAATCAGTGTTAGTTCTTCTTTAAACGTTTGGCAGAACTCACCAGTAAAGCTATCAGGTCCAGGACTTTTCTTTGTCATGAGATTGTCTTATTACTGACTCAATTCCCTTACTAGGTTAGGTCTATTCTGACTTTCTGTTTCTTTATAATTGAGTCTTGGTAGGTTTTGTGTGTCTAGGAATTCATCTATTTCATCTGGGTTATCCAATTTATGAGCACACAATTATTTATAGTAATCTTTTATAATCCTTTCTAGGCTGGGAATGGTGGGTCATGCCTGTAATCCAACAATTTGGGAGGCCGAGGTGGGAAAATTCCTTGAGGCCAGGAGTTCAAGATCAGCCTGGATAACATGGCAAGATCCTGTCTCTTAAAAAAAAAAAAAAAAAAAAGAGCTGGCATAGTGGCGAGCCCAGGAATTCAAGGCTGCAGTGAGCCGATTGTGCCACTGATTCTGGTTGCATCTGATTGTTGCCAGGGCAATAGAGCTAGACCTTGTCTCTAAAACATAGACAGGCAGACAGACAGACAGACAGACAGAAATATATAAAGATATTCTCAAATACATTTCTGTTTTAAGTAATTTAGATTGTTTCCCTTTTCCTTAGTCTTGTCAGTTTTATTAATCTTTTTGAAGAACCAACTTTTGGTTTTGTTTTTTATTGTTTTTCTATTCTCTTTTCCATTTATCTCTGCCCTGATCTCTATTGTTTCCTTCCTTCTGCTAACTTTGGGTTTAGTTTTATTCTTCTTTTTCTAGTTTCTTAATGTGTAAACTTATGTTGTTGAATTGAGGTGTTTCTTTTTTTAATGTGTTTATAGCTATAAATTTCCTCCTTAGCACTCCTTTCACCACAACTCATAAGTTGTGTTTTTTTGTTGTTTCTTTGTTTTTTGAGACAGAGTCTCATTCTGTCACCCAGGCTGGAGTGCAGTGGTGTTAGCTCAGTGGTGCAACCTCTGCCTCCTGGGTTCAAGAAATTTTCATGCCTCAGCCTCCTGGGTAGCTGGGACTACAGGCACGTACCACCACTCCCAGCTAATTTTTGTGTTTTTAGTAGAGACAGGGTTTCACCATGTTGGCCTGGCTGAAATTGAACTCCTGACCTCTAGCTATCCACCTCCCTCAGTCTCCCAAAGTGCTGGGATTACAGGTGTGAGCCACCACAACTGGCCACAGCCCATAAGTTTGGATATAGTGTGCTTTCATTTTCATTTGTCTTTAAGAATTTTATAATTTCTTTGTGATTTCTTTGATCCATTGGTTGTTTGAGAGTGTGTTGTTTAAATTCTACTAATTTGTGAACTTTTTTAAATCTTCTGTTATTGATTTCTAACTTTATCCTGTTGTGGTCAGAGAAGACACTTTGTATGATGTCTATCGTTTTAAATCTACTGAGCTTTTTTCCTTTTTTGGGACAGGGTCTCGTTCTGTCAGTGGTACAATGGTACATTTTCTTTGTCATGAAGTACAGGCTGGAGTACAGTGGTACAATCTCTGCTCACTGCAGCTTCAACCTCCTGGGCTCCTAAGCAATTCTCACGCTTCAGCCTCCCAAGAAGCTGGGATCACAGGCACGCACCACCACGCCCAGCTAATTTTTGTATTTTTAGTAGAGATGGGGTTTCACCATGTTGGCCAGGCTGATGTCAAGCTCCTGGCTTCAAGCAATCCACCCGCCTCAGCCTCCCAAATTACTCTGGGATTACAGATGTGAGCCACTGCACCCAGCCCCTATTGAGAATTAATTTGTGATGTGTTATATGGTCTATCCTGAAAATGTCCCATGTATACTTGAGAAGTATGTGTATTATGTTGTTGGGTAGAATATCCTGTGTATGTCTGTTAGGTCTAGTTGTTTTTTCAGGTGTTGTTCAAGTGCTGTATTTCCTTACTTATGTCTGGTCTGGTTGTTTTATTCATTTGTGAAATGAAGACAAGGGACAAAATCCTAAGACATCCCCCTTAAAAGGGAAGGACCACCCACAGAAAAGGACTGAGAGACCCCCAGAATCTATAGCTTAGCTAATTGATGGTCTTTCTCTCCTGAAGTTAGTAAAGAGTGGAAAAGATGACTCCTTCTTCAAACATGAAGAAAGCAATCTAAGTCTTCAAAGAACAGGAAGCATGAGAAAATATGACACCACCAAAGAAACAAAATGAAACTCCAGTGGCTGACTCCAAAGACATGAAGATCTACAAATTGCCTGACAAAGAATTCAAATAATCATCTTAGGGTGACATCAGCAAGATGGCAGAACAGGAGGCCCTCCACTCACCTCTCCCCACACAAACAATGATCTGGCAGCCATTCATGGACAAAACTGCCTTTGCAAGAGTTTTAATATCCAGGCAGGAGGTGGCAAAACTCTAGCAAAGCCCAAAACCAAGGAGAGCTGCTTTGAGAAGGCAGGTCCACACACCAGTGACAGGTTACCAGTTGCAGACTGAAAGCAGCTTTGTCCTCCTATGGACTTGGGTCCAGCTCCACTAGATCATGGTCTTGCAACTAGCCCCATCCACTAAGCACCTAGGAGGAACCATGACCATTTATGCCCCCAGTAACAGGCCTTCTAACCATGGTCCTGACTGCAGAAACTAAAGCAGCCCTGACCTGGCTTCAGCCCCACTCTACCACAGTCAGTCATGCCTGCCCAGGAATTCAGTGATGCCTTTACATACCCTTGGTAACAGGCCTGCTGATCTCAGTCTCAGCTATGGACACTAAAGTAGCCCTGTGACTCCATTCCAGTCTTGCTTTGCCACAGTCTGGGCACAGTCCAGCCCATCCTGGGACCTGGTGAAAGACATACCATCCATTCTCCTAATAAGAGGACCACCAATCTTGAACTCAAATGTGGTCACCAAAGCTGTCCTGTGACTTGGCTCTAGCCCTGCTCTACTGTGGTCTGGAGGCAGTCCTGTCTTCCCATGGACCTACCTAGTAAACCAGCAGGAGCTCAATCTGGGACCCACAGGGAGCTATACCAGTCCATGCCCTTGGTAATAGGCCTGATATCTGAAGACTTGACTGTAGAACTAGAAGTGGCCCCATGACCTGGCTCCAGTCCTGTTCAATCAGGGTATCAGAGGCAGTCCAGTTCTCCTGAGGATCCAGCAGAAACTGCATCACCAACCTATGCCTTGATAGCGGCCTGCCAATCAGAGATTCAGCTGCAGACCAGGCAGCAGCCATGTAATATGGCTCCAGGCCCACTTGACTGTGATCCAGTCAAGGGATCCAGCAGGAAAAGGTTTGTACCTGCTGAAACCAATCTATAAAGACAGAAAGAGATTGGGCATGGTGGCTCACACCTGTAATCCCAGCACTTTGGGAGGCCAAGGCGGGCAGACCACTTGAGGCCAGGAGTTTGAGACCAGCCTGGACAACACGGTGAAACTCTGTCTCTACAAAAAATACAAAAAAATTAGCCAGGCGTGGTGGCACATGCCTGTGATCCCAGCTGCTTGGGAGGCTGAGGCAGGAGAATCATTTGAACCTGGGAGGTGGAGGTTACAGTGAGCTGAGATCACACCACTGCACTCCAGCTGGGTGACAGAGCAAGACTCTGTCTCAAAAAAAAAAAAAAAAAAAAAAAAAAAGAAGAGGTATTTGCTTCTTCATAGACATTAATGAAAGTCTGTAGATCATGAAGAATCAGCAAATATGACACTACCAAAATAAACTCATAAATCTCCAGTAATCAACCCCCCAAAAATAGAGATCTACAAATTGCCTGACAATTCAAAATAATTAAGATAGCTCAGTGAAATTTACTAGAATGTATATATCAACTCAATAATATCAAGAAAATAGTAGATGAGCAAAGCTAAAAGTTCAATAAAGATACAGAAATAATAAGAACCAAACAGAAATTCTAGAACTGAAGAATACAATGAATAAAATGAAAATGCAAGCTGGGTGCCGTGGCGGACGCCTGTAATCCCAGCACTTTGGGAGGCCGAGGCAGGCGGATCACTTGAGGTCAAGAGTTCAAGACCAGCCTGGCCAACATGCCAAAACCCCATCTGTATTAAAAATACAAAAATTAGCCAGGCATGGTGGCATATGCCTGTAATCCTAGCTACTAGGGAGGCTGAGGCAGGAGAATCGCTTGAACCGGGAGGTGGAAGTTGGAGTAAGCCAAGATGGCACCACTGCATTCAAGCCTGGGTGACACAGACTCTGTCTCAAAAATATATAAAAATAAATAAATGAATGAAATGAAAATGCAATAGAGAATTTCAATTGCAGACTTGATCAAACAGAAGAAAGAATCTGTGAAATTAAAGACAGGACATTTGAAATATCCCGTCAGAAGACCAGAAAGAAAAAAAAGTTTATAAGTAAAAACCTTTGGGATTTATAGGACACCACCATGAAGTGGGTCAAACATATTATGGACTTCCTAGAAGTAAAAAAGATAGAAAAGGCCTGAAAGTATATTTGAAGACATAATGGGTAAAAACTTTCCAAATTCTTAGAGGCAAGTGGGCTTCCAGACACATGAAGTTCAGAGGCCCCAAAAAAGGCCAGCCCAAAGACCATAATACCAAGATGTATTATAATTAAAATATCAAAAGTCAAAGACAGAGACTTTCAAAAGCAGCAAGAAGAAAGGAATTCATCACATACAAGGAAACTTCAATAAGGCTATCAGTGGATTTCTCAGCAGAAACCTTATAAGCCAGGAGAGAATAGGATGCTATATTCAATGTATTGGAAGAAAAAAACTGCCAATCAGGAAGACCACAACTTGTAAAGCTGTCCTTCAGAAATGAAAAAGAGATGATAAGGTCTTTCCCAGACTCCCACCAAAAAAATTCTAAGGGAGTTCATCACCACTGCACCTGCCTTATAAGGCAGTTTTTCAAGTTGAAATAAAAGGATTCTGATTAGCAACATTAAAACATTAAGATATTAAGTTCACAGGTAGGCCGGGCGCAGTGGCTCACGCCTGTAATCCCAGCACTTTGGGAGGCCAAGGCGGGTGGATCACAAGGTCAGAAGAGGGGGATCATGCTGGCTAACACGGTGAAACCCCGTCTCTACTAAAAATACAAAAAATTAGCCAGGCGTGGTGGCGGGTGCCTGTAGTCCCAGCTACTCGGGAGGCGGAGGCAGGAGAATGACTTGAACCCGGGAGGCAGAGCTTGCAGTGAGCCGAGATCATGGACACTGCCCTCCAGCCTGGGCGACAGAGCGAGACTCTGTCTCAAAAAAAAAAGTTCACAGGGAAAGGTAAGTATATAGTCACATTCATAACACTGTAATATTGCAGTGGTGGTGTGTAAATCACTTTTCACTGTAGTATAAAAGTTAAAATGTAAAAGTATTAGGCGGCCCGGGAGCGGGGCAGCTGCTGCGGGGAGGCGGGGAGGCGGGGGGCCTGGCCGGACACCCCTGCGCCCCCTCCCCGCACCCGGGCGGAGGGCGGCCTCTTCCCCCTCCCCCTCCCCCACCACCCCCGGCAGCCGCCTCCCCCAGGACGCAGGAGGCGGGCGGAGGCCGGGTCCGCGCAGCGGGCGACTTGCGGCATGGGCCGGGTCGAGGTGGGGGGGCGGTTTCGGGGGCTGGGAAGCTGGGGTGCCGGGGACAGGAGGGTGGGGGAGCTGGGGAAAGGAGGGCTGGGGGGCCGGGGACAGGAGGGCCATGCAGGCAGTGGCAAGCGGGCGGCGAGGGCTCCGTGGGGCAGGTGGACGGGGATCAGCGCCTGGGGCTGCTCCGTTCCCCAGGCGGGTGTCGTGGCTCTGGCCTCCATGCAACTCCAGGTCTGCGCGCCCCGCGCTGCTGGAGCCCCAGTCAAAAGTCTATTTAAAAAGCAGAGAGAGGATGCTTCCCTCTGAGTGGAGCGATGAAGACCTGATCCCTGGGCCATTTGGGAACACTAGCTGCCTTTCATCACAGTCAACCTGGACTCAGAGAATGTCAAGAGCTTGTTGGTTGGGTCAAGAATGAATCTAGGCATGACGTCATAGTTTATAGTCATCCTTTTAAACCTGCAAAGAAGCATTTGCAGGTTTAAAGTTATTTCACGGGTACTGCTTGCCAATCTTTGGAGGATGTGAAGCCTGCAGAGAAATAAAGTGTCGCCCCTCTGCGCGTCGCTCCCCATCTGCCAGAATGTTTCTCATGAATGCTCCTCCAGTGGTTGCTCTCCAGCCCAAATGGGAGGCCTCTGTCCCGCCAGGGAGCTTTAGGTTCCCCGGGTGCTTCTCGGAGGCTGACAAGGGCGTGGAGAGCATGTCGGTGAGCACCCGGGTGCAGATGCTCATCAGCACGCTGCAGAGCGACAGGGCTGCTAGGGGCACCAGCGATGAGCGCACTGCGCAGAGGGGGCAGAGGGATGCCACGACGCCAGGCCTGCTGCCAAGCCCACCATGCACAAGGAGCTGCCTGCGTTGGCTGCCTGTGGTCTTGTTGCTGACTTTGACCCCGTGGGGGAGGAGGAAACTGCAGACTTTGGCCCATTGGTGCTAGATTCAGACAGTGACGATTCCGTGGACCGGGACATTGAGGAGGCCATCCAGGAGTACCTGAAGGTAAAGAGTGGAGCGGCACAGCCCGGGGCCAGCGGGGCCCAGCCATGCACAGCCTTCCAGGGCTGCGGGCGGAGGCAGTAGATGTAAGCGGGAACTGGCTCACAGCAGTGCCCAACTGCCCTGTGTTCCCCAAAACTTGTACCTGGCTCAGGTGGTGTGGCCCTGGCAGCCAGGTGGGATCCAGCAAGGACCAGGGCTCTGCCTCCCCAGTCAGCATGAGCAGAGCAGACTCCTTTGAGCAGAGCATCAGGGCAGAAATAGAACAGTTTCTGAATGAGAAAAGACAGCATGAGACCCAAAAATGTGATGGGTCAGTGGAGAAGAAACCAGACACACATGAAAATTCGGCGAAGTCACTCTCGAAATCCCACCAAGAGCCGGCTACAAAGGTGGTGCACCGGCAGGGCCTGATGGGCGTCCAGAAGGAGTTCGCCTTCTGCAGACCTCCCCCGGTTAGCAAAGACAAACGTGCAGCCCAGAAGCCTCAGGTCCAAGGTCACGACCACGACCACGCAGGAGAAGGAGGGCAGCACAAAGCCAGCAACCCCCACCGCCCTTCAGAAGCAGTACAGAATAAAAGTGGGATTAAAAGGAGCGCCAGCACCGCAAGGAGGGGAAAGCGAGTCACGAGCGCCGTACAGGCTCCCGAGGCGTCCGACTCCAGCAGCGACGACGGCATTGAGGAGGCCATCCAGCTGTACCAGGTGCAGAAAACACACAAGGAGGCCGACGGGGACCCGCCCCAGAGGGTCCAGCTCCAAGAGGAAAGAGCACCTGCCCCTCCCGCACACAGCACAAGCAGCGCCACAAAAAGTGCCTTGCCAGAGACCCACAGGAAAACACCCAGCAAGAAGAAGCCAGTGCCCACCAAGACCACGGACCCTGGTCCAGGGGATCTGGACGCTGACCATTCCCCCAAGATCCCAAAGGAAACCAAAGCTCCACCTCCAACGAGCCCGGCTTCCAGGAGCAAGTTTGTGGAATGGTCCTCTTGCCAGGCAGACACCTCCGCTGAGCTGATGTGTGTAGAAGCAGTCCTGGACATTTTCAAGACGATCCTGCCGGCCCTATGGAGGGCAGCGATGGGTCCCTGTCCGCAAGCCCACTCTTCTACTCCCCCAACGTGCCTTCCCGCTCTGATGGTGACAGTAGCTCCGTGGACAGCGACGACAGCATTGAGCAGGAAATCTGGACGTTTTTGGCCCTCAAGGTGCAGTCTAGAAGTTTGCTGGCCAGAGGTGAGAGCTGCCCTCAGGCTGCCCAGGGCCCACTTTCACCACCTGGCCTCAGCAGCCAGACCGGCAGCCCCAAGGCCCCTCTCTCTAAAACACTGGACCCACTCCTGGCTGCAAAAGGAAGCATAGAGGCGGCTGCCAAGTGAGGCCATCCACTCCCAAGAACATGCGGGTGGTGGGGAAAGAGGGTGGCCAGGATGCCGACCGCAGCCAGGGGAGAGCCGGGCCCGGCCATGAGGGGCGGGACCTTTCCATCCAGGGCACAGCCAGCGAGGCCCCGGGATGGGAGGGCGCCGCTAGGGTGGGACCTTTCCATCCAGGGCACAGCCAGCGAGGCCCCGGGAGGAGAGGGCGCCGCTAGGGTGCCCGGTGACACTCGCACGTCACAGGGCCAGGGTAAGACAGACGAGGCAAGGCACCTAGACAAGAAGAAGAGCTCCGAAGACAAAAGCAGTTCCCTGGACAGTGACAAGGACCTGGACACAGCCATCAAGGACTTGTTAAGGTCCAAGTGAAAGCTCAAGAAGAGGTCCAGGGAGCCCAGGGCTGTGTGCAGGAAGAAGGTCAGGTTCAGCACCTCCCAGACGCACTTCCAGGAGCGGCTGGGCAGGCTCCTGAGAGAGTGGAAAAACAGGCACCTGCAGGTGCTGAAGAGCTGCCTAAGTCCAAGAGAGACAGCTGCGAGGGCTCCAGGAAGAAACCCCCCAGTGTCTTTGGCAGCAGGGCCGAGAGGACGAAGCCCCGGCCTTCCTGGTGAGGAGACCCGCTTCTGCCTCCGCCTCCGAAGAGAATCTATTCCCCAGAGAGTCCCAGGGCCCAGCTCCCAGCCCTGGCTCCTTGTCTGACAACAGCAGTTCAGTGGACAGCGACGATAGCATCGAACTGGAGATTAGGAAGTTTTTGGTGGAAAAGGCCAAGGAGTCGGTGAGCAGTTCAGAAGTTCAGGCAGAGGGCCCCACCGCTCTCGGGACAGGGGGCCCAGCCAGGCCAGAGGTACCTTGCAGGAAGGAGCCGGCCCCACTGCCTGGCATGTGCACACGGAGCCAGAGGGCCGGGGGGTCCCACATTTGGCTAAAGGGCATCGAGGCGCAGGGAGCGCAGGAGCACAGGGCGCAGCGTGCCTGCTCAGCCAGGGTGGGAAGGGGCTCCCCACTGATCCGGCGGAGGGGATCATGCGCCACCCAGGAGGACCAGCGGCAGTGTCTCCGCCAAGGTCTCTCAGTGAGCAAGAGAAGTGTTTACGTTTACAAAGACCAGAGCCCACGAGGGGCTGAGCCTGCTGCCAAAAGTGCTTTTGGTCAGCGGCCCAGCTGTGCCACAGCGGGCACCGAGGCAGGAGGAGCCAGGGGGACCTTTCACGTGGACTGCAGGAACCGGAGCTTCCTGACCCCCAGCCCGGGAGCTGAGAGGGATGCTGGAGCCCAGGCCAACCGCGCCCCGCCCTGGAGTGACTTTGCCCACCACAGTCGGCTGCCCAGCCCATGGGCACTGCGCTCCAAAGGTAGAGATGCGGCGTGGAGGGGGCGGCATTGGGAGAGAGAGACAAGGGGTCCGAGGGCCCCGCCCGGGGCCTGCCCAGCCTGCCCCTTGCGGGCTTCTCCCCGCTGCTGTCCACCCAGCTCTTCCACTTTGGAAAGGGTGTCTCCTGGGGGGGCAGGGAGACCGGCCTCTTCAGCCCCTACCTGGGGCTGCCTCTGCAGGGCCTGTCCTTCTCGGCCTTCAGGGAGTCCCAGGCCAGGCCCAGCCTTGTCTTTGGAAGCCCACACTTGCTGGCGAAGAAGGACTGCGATCACCGGCCAAGCAGGAAGGTACAGACGGGGCTGAGTTTGCACAACAGGAAGAGCTCTGGCTCGGAGGAAAGGATTTTAGACCTGAGGTATCCACGAAGGGTCAATCAGTAGAGTTGACCAGGACCAGGACACCTTGGGCAGGGACACCAGTGATTTCAGCAACACCTCCGCAGAGGTGTTGCTGCTGCAGTGGCGGCAGCTCAGTAGTGAAGGTATAAGACCTCGAGCTGTGGGTTCGCGTCCTGGGTTCCATGCATTCGTGGAAAGCGGCATAGCTGACGTGTATCTGTGCCTGTGTGTGATGGTTCTGTGGTTGCAGGGAGGGGAAACAGTCTGTTATACATAGTCTTGTATATATGTATACCAACACGAAACAATGCTTTTATTTAACAGATGTGTCCTGGTAAATATGATTTTTGTAGATTTTGTACATTATTTAAAGTGATGAAAAATGTTTTTGGAAAATACTGTTGGTCAATTTTGTAGGGTGTTCCTTAACTGCAGTTTTCTGTGTTCTGCATACAAGTCTTAGATTAGAAAACATTTGGTTTTTATCATCACAACCAGGTTTACAGGGACTCTGATGTTTTTTGGTTGGTTGCTGGTGAGAATGGCCAGCGCTGGCTGCAGGGGTAGCCTTAGGAAGGCCGAGGTGCCCTCCCCAGGAATCGCTCACATGCCCCAAAGTGTCCGTCAGGAAGTTCCTGGGACAGCACTTTTTATACAGAGGACACCCCCCCACCACCGCCTGGCTTCATGGTCCTTGGAGGCCAGAGCACATCTGAAAACTACAGGAACGGAAAACCAAACTCCGCATGTTCTCACTCATAAGTGGGAGTTGAACAATGAGAACACTTGGACACAGGGCAGGGAATATCACACACTGAGGCCTGTTGGGGGATGGGGGCAAGGGGAGAGATAGTATTAGGAGAAGTACCTAATGTAAATGATGGGTTGATGGGTGCAGCAAACCACCATGGCACATGTATACCTAAGTAATAAACCTGCACTTTCTGCACGGCTACCCCAGAACTTAAAGTATAATTAAAAAAAAAAAAAAAACAGGAAAAAATAAGTAGAGATTAAACCAGTAATGAAAAATCTCCCAACAAAGAAAATCCCAGGACCAAATGGTTTTACTGGTCAATTTCAACAAACATTTAAAGAATTAATAACAATCCTTCTCAAACTCTTCCAAAAAAATTGAAGAAAAGGGAACACGTTGAAACTCATTCTAAGAGGCCAGCATTATCCTGATATCAATGCCAGATAAGAACACTACAAAATAAGAAAACTATAGGTCAATATCCCTGGTTAACATAGATGCAAAAATCCTCAATGAAATACTAGTAAACCAAATTCAACAGTGCATTAAAAGAATTATTCACCATGAATCCAGTCTCTACCAAAAATCCAAAAAAAAAAAAAATTAGCTGAGCATGCTGGCGGGTGCCTGTGGTCCCAGCTACTAGGGAGGCTGAGGCAGGAGAATGGCGTGAACTTGGGAGGCGGAGCTTGTAGTGAGCCGAGATCGCGCCACTGCACTCAGGCCTGGATGACAGAGCGAGACTCCATCTCAAAAAAATAAATAAATAATAAATAAATAAAAAACAAAAAAAGAATTATTCACCAGGATCAAGTGGGATTTATCTCTGGCATGCAAGGATGCTTTAACATACAAGAGTCACTAAATGTGATACACCACATCAACACAATAAACGATAAAAATCCTTTATTTTTATTATTAAAAAGCACTTGATAAAATTCAACATCCTTTCATGATTAAAAAAAACAACAAACTGAGCAAATTAGGTGCAGAAGGAATGTACCTCAACATAATGAAGACCACATGTAACATACTCAACAGTGAAAGACTGAACGTTTTTCCTCGAAGATGAAGAACAAGACAAGAATTCCTACTCTCACCATTTCTCCTCAAAATAGGACTGGAAGTCCTAGCCAGAACAATTAAGCAAGTAAAGAAATAAGAATGGAAGTAAAATGGTCTCCATAGATGACATATTTTTATGTATAGAAAACTGTAAAGACTTCACTAAAAGACTGTTAGAAGTAATAAATTCAATAAAGTAGCAAGATACAGAGTCAACATCCAAAAATCAGTTGCATTTCTATGCATAGATGGACTGGAGGGCATTATGTTAAGTAAAATAAGCCAGACACAGAAAGTGAAATGTTGTACAATCTCACTTATGTGTGGAACCTAAAGACGTCAAACTCAGAAGAAGAGAACAGAATGGTGGTTGCTGGGAGCTGGGGAAGAGAAGGAAATGGGAAGTTGATGGTTAAAGTGTACAAATTTCAGTTATGCAAGATAAGTAAGTTCTGGAGAGCTATACAGCATAGTACCCACAGAAAATGTTACTATATTCTTAAATTGTTTAATTAAAAACTTTTATTATTATTATTTTTTTTTAGACAGATTTTCACTCTTGTTGCTAAGGCTGGAGTGCAATGGTGCTGTCTCGGCTCACTGCAACCTCCACCTCCCAGGTTCAAGAGATTCTCCCACCTCAGCCTCCCAGTACTTTGCTCAGATTATAGGTACCCGCCACCACGCCCAGCTAATTTTTGTATTTATAGTAGAGATGGGGTTTTGCCATCTTAGCCAGGCTGCTCTCCAACTCCTGATCTCAGGTGATCCGCCTGCCTCAGCCTCCCAAAGTGCTGGGATTACAGGCGTGAGCCACCGCACCTGGCCATTAAAAACATTTTTTTTATACAATAATAATAATAAAGAGGCAGAAGGAAATTTTAAAAGGTGATGGATATGTTTATAGGCTTGATGATAATGGTTTTATGGTGTAAATTTATCAAGATGTGTACGTTAAATATGTACAGTTTTTATGTAAATCATTCCTCAACAAAATGGTTTAAAAAGTAATAAAGTAATTACTGATAAGGGGGGACTTACTTCTGGCATTTTGCTATACATTTTCTATATGCCTTACAGCATTTTTGTCCATTTCCTGCATGATCTCATTTGTATTTAGTTGATTTTTTGTAGCGAAGTGTTTTAATTCCCTTCTCATTTACTTTTTTATGTTATATAATGTTTTATTTGTGGTTACCATAGGGATTACACTTAACATTCTAAAGTTATAGCACTCTAACTTGAATTCATACCAGCTATATTTCAATAATATGCAAAAATTCTCCTCACAGTTTTGCCACTCCTCTTTCAGTTATCAATGTCACAAAATTACATTTTTGTACATTGTGTGTCCATAAACATAAACTAATAATTGTTTTTAATGCATTTGTCTATTAAATTATGTAGAAAGCAAAACATGGAGTTTTAAACCAAAGTTACGATAATACTAGATTTAATATTTTCCCATATATTTACTTTTACTGGCATCTTTATTTCTTCATATGGCTTTGAGTTACTATCTAGTGTTCTTTCTTTTCAACCTGCATGATTCTCTTTAAGATTTCTTGCAGGGCAGGTCTAATGGTAGCAAACTTCTCAACTTTGGTTTATTTGGGGATTTCCCAATTTCTTCCTCACTTTTGAAGGACAGTTTTGCTGGATATAGGATTCTTGGTTGAGAGGTAGTGGTTGTTTTTCTTTTAGCCCTTTACATATGTCATCCCATTGTCTTCTGTTCTCCAAAGTGTCTGATGAGAAATCTACTTATAATCCTATTATATATTCCTAGCATGTGACTAGTTGCTTCTCTCTTGGTGCTTTCAAGAGGCCCTACTGGCTAATTATAATGTCTCAGTATGAGTCTTTTTTTTTTCATCCTACTTGGAGTCCATTGAGTTTTCTGGATATTTATTTTCATGTCTTTCATCAAATTTGGGAAGTGTTCAGCTTTTTTTTTTTCTTTTTTGAGACAGAGTCTCGCTCTGTTGCCCAGGCTAGAGTACAGTGGTGTGATCTTGGCTCACTGCAACCTCTGCCTCCTGGATTCAAGCGATTCTTCTGCCTCAGCCTCCTGAGTAGCTGGGACTACAGGTACGTGCCACCACGCCCAGCTAATTTTTTTTTTTTTAAACGGAGTTTCACTCTTGTTGCCCAGGCTGGAGGGCAATGGCACAATCTCGGCTCACTGCAACATCTGCCTCCTGGGTTCAAGCGATTCTCTTGCCTCATCCTCCCAAGTAGCTGGGATTACAGGCATGCACCACCACACCTGGCTAATTTTGTGTTTTTAGTAGAGACGGGGTTTCACCATATTGGCCAGGCTGGTCTCGAACTCCTAACCTTGTGATCCACCCACCTTGGCCTCCCAAAGTGCTGGGATTACAGGTGTGAGTCACCGTGTTCAGCCTCAGCCATTATTTCTTCAAATGATCTCTCTGCCCCTTTCCCTCTCTTCTTTTGGGACTTCCACAATGTCTGCTTGCTATTCAACAATCGTCTTTATTTCTGTTCCTCTGACTTGATCATTTCAAGTGTCCCATCTTCAAATTCACTGAATCTTTCTTCTGTTGCTCAAATCTGCTTTTGAATCCCTCTGGTGAACTTTTATTTCAATCACTACACTTTTAGTTCCAGAATTTATTTATTTTTTTTCTTTTTAGGTTTTCTATCTCTTTATTGATATTCCCATTTTGTTTACACATAATTTTACTGACTTTCTCCACATCTTCCTTCAGTTCTTTGACCATCTTTAAGAAAGTTGTTTTAAAGTATTTGTGTAGTAGGTTACCATCTGGTCTTTCTCTGGAACAGTTTCTGTTGTTGTTTTTCCTTTGAAATACCATATTTTCTTGTTTTTTGTATGCCTTGTGTTTTGTATTGAAAACTGGACACTTGAATATAATAATGCAGTAACTCTGGAGATGAGACTCTCCTCTTCCTCAGGGTTTGCTGTTTTAGGGTTTTGTTATGTTTTACATTGTTGTAGGTTGTCTCCATGCTGAGGATCAACCTGAGTTGTAAGCTTGAGGTCTTCTCAGGTCTGAAGCTGCTCCTTTCCCTGGGCACACACTCCTCTCTCCAAGGATGTGTGGTAACTTTAATTTCCTCTGGGTATGCCATTGCTTTTGAGTGTCCTAGTCTTTAATGTTTGGCTCCCAAAAAAGGAAAAGAGAACAATGAAGGGGAAGGGAAATGGGGTTCTGGCCTTTTCTATCTCCTAGAAGTTGCTTCAGTCTGGTAAGGGCTTGCAGCAGTGGAGTGGGGAGTTGTGAGCAATAATGGCTGCCGGCCTCTGTGTTTGCCCTTCCATAATCAAAAGTAGCAATCAACAACCAGAACGCAGATGCTAACACTTGGAGGACAGAGTGCTTATTGCCCATGATTGTTCCCACAAGCTTGGTACAAGCTGCTTCAGGAACACATGCAAAGCTTCTTGCCGTGAAGCTGGGGCATGGGGATTGGGTAGCCACTGCTGAGCTAAGAGCTGAAATTGACCAAAATTAAGTAAAAATTATAGTTTAAGCCTTCATTTGGAGGTTACAAGCCTCCTTTGATAGAGTCTAGAGTTCCAAAATAGTTATATCAGGCAGATTCTGCCAGTGTGATTATTTTCTAGGTGGGGAGATGAATTCCCAGTGCTTCCTACTCCACTTTCTTCCCAGAACCCTCTCTTGTAATAGTTTTTTACTTAAAATCTATTTTGTCTATACTTTTTTTTCCATATATTTACTTTTTATTGAATTTGTTAACGTTACAGAGTTCTTGCACTGCCAAACCATGCCTGAGAATTCAAACAAATGGTACAATGGACAGCCTCATCCACCCATCATACAGTATATTAAAACTTGATTCATCTATATTTTGATATTTTCACAATCTTTTAAAAAGTTATAATAAGAGCTGGAATTTAAATCTGCTGCAGGTCTTCAGATTTTGAGTACAGTATGCCTTTACATAACACCTCCACTTACTCATCTCTGTTCATTCTTCAGTAACATAAACCCCAACAACTTGTACAGCCATAACTTGTACAGCCATTCCTGATCTGTTTTGGTTACTTTTTGCACGGAATATTCTCCATTCTCTCATTTTTCAACCCATTTGTATTGGATTTCAAATGAGTCTCTTGTAGACAGCATATATAGTTGAATCCCGTTTTTTTAAATCCAATCAGCCAATTTATGTCTTTTTATTGGGAGTTTAACCTATGCACATTTAATGAAATTATTGATTAGGAAGGACTTACTACCACCATTTTGGTCATTGTTTTCTGTATGTTTAGAGCCTTTTTGTCCTTCTTTCCTCCCTTATTGTCTTCCTTTGTGTTATAGTTGATTTTTTGTAGTGCTATGCTCTGATTTCCTTCTCATTTCCTTTTGCATATATTCTGTAGGTATTTTCTTTGTGGTTACTATGGGAATTACATGGAACATCTTAAAGTTATCTTATTATTTTAAACAGATAACTTCAATCACATACAAAACCTCTACTCTTTACATCTTTGCCCCACTATTAAGTTACTGATGTCACAAATTAAACTTTATATACTTTGTATCCATTAACATAGATTTATAATTATTATGCTTTTGTCCTTTAAATTCCATTAAAGTATTAAAAATTGAGTTATTAGCAAAAATTACAATAATACAGGTTTTAATCTTTATGTATTTACCTTTATATTTTCATCAGGCTGAGCAACTGTCTAGTATCCCTTCATATCAACTTGAAGGACTCCCTTTATTGTTTCTTTTTTTTTTTTTTGAGATGAAGTCTCGCTCCGTTGCCCAGACTGGAGTGCAGTGGTGTGATCTCAGCTCACTGCAACCTCTACCTCCCGGGTACAAGTGATTCTCCTGCCTCAGCCTCCTGAGTAGCTAGGATTACAGGTGCGTGCCACCACACCCAGCTAATTTTTGTATTTTTATTAGAGATGGGGTTTCGCCATGTTGGTCAAGCTGGTCTTGAACACCTGACCTCAGGTGATCCACCTGCCTCGGCTCCCGAAAGTGCTGGGATTACAGACATGAGCCACTGTGCCCGGCCCCTTTATTATTTCTTATTGGTCAGGTCTAGTGGTAATAAACTCCTTCAGCTTTTATTTATCTGGGAATGTCTTAATTTCTCCTTCACTTTTGAAGGACAGTTTTGTCAAATATAGTATTCTCAGTTGGCAGGCTTTACTCTTTCAGTACTTTCAATGTATCATCCCACCACCTTCTGGCCTGCAGGGTTTCTGCTGAAATATCCACTGATAATCTTCTAGAGGCTCCCTTGCACATGAGAAGTCACTTTTCTCTTGCTGCTTTTAAGGTTCTCTCTATACTTACTACCACTAAATTCTACACTTAAAAATGGTATAATCTGTTATGTATATTTTGCCACAATAAAAACATCGGAAAGAGGTACCATAGAAGAGTATATTACATGCACCATAGGCTGGAAAACATTTTCAGAGATTAGGCTATTCTCAGTAACTCACATATCTAGTTCTGGTAAACACTGATTGATTTAAACAAATATCAATGAACAAAGTATTACATGCACCGCGTGCAGCTAAACAGTGTTTCGCTGACATAACACTAGTACCTAGATCTGATAAACTATCTAAACAGGCATCACTGAAACTATACTACAGAAAACACAGAATGCTAACCACAGTATTTCCAAGAGTCTACGCTACACCTAGGCAATCTTGCACCTATCTCTGTTAAACACAGGGTTTGAACTTGGAACAACAAAGAATGTAGTACCTGCACCACACACTTCTTAAAACAGGGTTTTGGCCGGGTGTGGTGGCTCACGCCTGTAATTCCAGCACTTTGGGAGGCTGAGGCAGGAGGATCACCTGAGGTCAGGAGCTCGAGACCAGCCTGGCCAACATGGTGAAACCCCGTCTCTACTAAAAATACAAAAATTAGCTGGGTGTGGTGGCAGACGCCCGTAATCCCAGCTACTCAGGAGGCTGAGGCAGGAGAATCGCTTGAACCTGGGAGGCAGAGGTTGCAGTGATCCGAGACCACACCATTGCACTCCAGCCTGGGTTGCAAGAGCAAAACTCCATCTCAAAATAAATAAATAAATAAATAAACAGGGTTTCATAGGGAAAACACTATGCTAAGTCATTCACAAACCTATTTCTAATAAACACAGATAGTGAACATGCATTAAAGAAGGCTATCTTAGATGAGCCACACCCTGCTAAACACATCGATTCTCAAAGATAATGCAAGGCTCATTCACTCATGGTAGACCTAACTGTTAAACTTAACATTTAAATATGTATCACAGAAGATGGTAGTACCTGAACCTCATGCTTCTAAATGGAAT
The DNA here is from genome assembly GCF_000001405.40 of Homo sapiens. Taxonomy (NCBI): domain Eukaryota; kingdom Metazoa; phylum Chordata; class Mammalia; order Primates; family Hominidae; genus Homo; species Homo sapiens. Next base: position 18,392,406 of record NC_000022.11, on the reverse strand, counting down.
GCTTCACCAAGGCAGCATTATTCTCAATCACTCATGCATCTGCCTCACTTCAGTACGGAGCAAATATGTATCAGTGAGCAATGTGCCACGTGCGCTATACACGGCCAAACACAGTGGCTCATACAGTTAACACAAGGTGTGGTCAATCACTGACAGAATGGGAATGAGGAATGTGTCCCACTCTCTCAGCTGTTGTATTATATCATACAAGGTGCAGTGACTAAGTTCATTCATGAACCCAGCTCTCTTAAACACAGAAATTAAACACATATATGGGATACAGCACACAGTGTGATTTGTGTCTGCATCTCCCTCGTGCATGTTGTATATTTCATATAATGTAGGTACAAAATGTAACTTTGGTCTTCACCCGCATCAGCTATCATCTATCACAGGTTACATAGCGACATAATACAACTCAGTTCTGCATCCCCCTCTGCTATCATATGGTATCATGTGTGACAATGTGACCCGAGGTGAGTAATGACTATCCCCTCTCACCTGCTGTATGGTGTCATAAGTGACATTTGTGACTCACATACACTGTGAATCAGGCCTGCAACCCTTCTGTCAGTTGTTGCATGATACTGTATGTGCCATAGTGACATAATGCAACTGAGGTCTGGGCTCCTTGATGTCATATAATATCATAAGTGACATGGTGTGAACAAGGCTGCCTCCCCCTCTTGGGTTATCATTGGCTATCATATAGGACATAGTGATACAAAGTGACAAGTGTGTGTCCCCCTCAAGTGTTATATATCACATGTGACATGGAGTAAGGTGAGCCTGAGTCCTTCTCTTGGTTGTCCTAGATTATTTTATTTTATTTTTTTGAGATACAGTCTCACTCTGTCCCCAAGGCTGGAGTGCAGTGGTGCAATCTCAGCTCACTGCAACCTCTGCCTCCTGGGTTCAAGCAATTCTCCTGCCTCAGGTGCCTGAGCAGTGGGGACCACAGGCGTGCACCACCTCACCCAGCTAATTTTGTATTTTTAGTTACACAGTAACAAATGTGACTGAGGTCTACCTGCGCTCTCAGCTGATGCTGGCACCTTTATTGCCTAGGTGTTTAATGCTTCTCAGGTCTGCATCCTATCTCCCGTCACACACTCTCATATGCTATGTAGGATGAGGACACAGCTGACACACTTAGTCACTGCACCTTGTATGATATAATACAACAGCTGAGAGAGTGGGACACATTCTTCATTCCCATTCTGTCAGTGTAACATAGCATATAGCAGCTGAGAACGGGGTACATCCCTGACTCACATGATGTCACAATGTCACATATGATATCATAAGTCATCCAGTGGGCTAGGCACGGTGGCTGACACCTATAATCCCCACACTTTCAGCCTGCCAAAGTGCCTTTTTTTGTGCCTTTCACATAAAGACTATGACACAGCTAAGCTATTCATGTACTAATAAATACCTGCCCTGAGCTGTGTGACCACGGACACCACCCTATAATGTGGCCAGTGTGTAGGAACTCTGCAGGCTCAGATCATTCCAGACATACATGCAGATGTTGGAACTCCCTTGCACAGTGACTCATGATCCCAAGGCTGAGTGCTGAGGGCAGGTCAGTAGTTCAGAGCCTCAGCATTGGGGCCGTATGCTTGGGTTCCCATCTTGGCTCCCACACTTTGGGAGCCCGAGGTGGGTAGATCGCTTGAGCTCAGGCATTCGAGACCAGCCTGGGCAACATGGTGAAACCCTGTTTCTACTAAAAATACAAAAATTTGCCAGGCGTGGTGGTGTGTGTCTGCATTCCCAGCTACTCAGGAGGCTGAGGTGGGAGGATGGCTTGAGCTGAGGAAGCAGAGGCTGCAGTGAACTGCCCTGCTGAGAGTGGAGCTCCTGCTCAGCTCCTAGGAAGGCAAGAGCCAGCAAGGCCACTGCCCAGGCCCCCGAGGGTTCCAGGGGGTCCCATCCCTGGGAAGGTGGAATCTGGGAGGTGAGGGGGACCTAGGACCCCATTGTGTGCACAGCTTGGGCTAAGGCATGAGATAAGACCAGGGTGACAGTACAGGAGTATCCAAGAACTGACTTCACCTAACTTCTGCATTTGACTTCCCATCCCCAATGTGGGTAGGGCCCTGCCCTCTGGCGATTGGAAAGAGGCGCAGGGTGCAAAGAAGTCCCCTCCTCTGACCTCCTGCAGGGCTCCGTCTTGGCCTGGATCCGCAGGGGGGCCTGGGCAGGAGGGAGGCTATGGTCTTGGGATGGGGTGGCAGTTCCAGGCCCACAGCGGGGCAAGAGACATCCTACACCTTCCTCCCATCCTTGCCCCGAAAGTCATGGGCGCTGGGGTTCAAGGTGCCCTCACTATTTGACCTTTCTTGCTGGTGGCTTTGGTGTGTCATTCTGGTCCCCAGCCTCTGTTTCCTGGACTGTAAGTGGGGATAATAATAGGTCACCCCTCCCCTGCAGGATTAACCTCAGCGATTGTTGCTGGCATCAGTGCAGCCCTGGGACCAGAGCACACCTGGGTGAGTTTGGAGCGCTCCCGCTCTTCCTGGTGGCCCTGCCTGGGCACCGACCCCTCCCATCCTCTCCTCAATAGCCACGCCCCTAGCCCAGCTAGCTAATGAATAAATATGTAGTAGCCAGGCCAGCATCTTGGCTCCGCGGTCTAGCCACTTTCTAGTCCTTCCTAGCTGCGGCTGCCACTGAGCCACGCACGCCCCTGGCATCATGCTCGCCTTGCGGTGCAGCTGGTGTGGTGCAGACTCTGAGAGTGAGCACCAGGACTCTTCCCGTCTGGTCTCCAATCTACCCTCTTGCCATGCTCCACCACCCCTTAGGTCTTGCCACTGGGAGTGGGGAGGGACTGGGGAGAGAAAATACTGGGGTAGGGGTGACATGAGAGAAGGTTCTTCACTGGCCTCCCCTGGCCTAAGCCCCTGGCCTACTTCATTCTTGGACCCCAGTTGATGGGATGGGGCTTGGAGAGGACCCAGATGACTGGTCTCTCAGCTCAGCCTCCTGCCCACTGTCTCTATAGGTGCCTGGTGCTACGACTCCCAGGACCCCAAGTGTGGTGAGGACAGAGTGTCATGTGAGGCTGAGTGACATCAGTCTGTGTCCTGGGACCACCAGACACCATAATACATATTATGTAATATGTATGATACATATTACAGAATAAATGACATATATAATATATGATATATATTATATATAATATATGACATATATTACATATATGTGACATATATTACATATAATATGTGACATACATTATATGTAATGTATGATATAATATATAGTATATGATATAAAATATATAATATGTGATATATAAGATATATAATATTATATTACATATAATTATATTATATTATATATAATATATATCATAATATATTATATAATATATAATATATATCACAATATATTATATATTATATATAATATATTCATAATATATTATATATTATATATAATATGTCATAATATATTATATATTATATATAATATATAATATTATATATTATATTATTATTATAAAATATATAATACTATATAATGTTATATATAATATAATATATAATAATATATAATATATTAGATTATAATATATATTATACTATAACATATTATTGTATAACATATGATAATATAATATATATTATATATTATATTGTATAAAATATTATATTATATATAATATATAATATTTTATATAAAATATTATATTATATATAATATATAATATTTTATATAAAATATTATATAATATATATAGTATAATATATTATATAAAATATTATGTAATATATATTATATATTATATATTATTATCTTGTATATATAATTATATAATTATATATAATTATATATATTATATCATATGTAATAATTATATATAATTATATATTATATCATATGTAATAATTATATCTAATTATATATTATATTATATGTAATAATTATATATAATTATATATTATATTATATGTAATAATTATATATAATTTATGTATTATATTATATGTAATAAATACACATAATTATATATATTTTATTATATATAATATTATATATAATTGTATATTATATTATATATAATAATTATAGATTATATTATAGTAATTATATTTTATATTATTTTTAATATTAATTAATATTAATTAATAATAATTAATTTAAAATATTAATTATTATTTTATATATTATATTATATATTATATTATTTTATATTATATATTATATTATATATAATATTATATATTATATTATAATGTATATTATATTATATTATGTTATAATATATAATATATTATAATATATTATTATATTATATTATATATTACATTATATACACTTATATATAATATATTACATTATTATATATACTTATATATAATATATATATAATATTATATATACGTATATATAATATAATATATTATATATACGTATATATAATATTATATATACGTATATATAATATAATATATTATATATACGTATATATAATATATTATATATACGTATATATAATATATTATATATATGTTTATATAATATACTATATTATGTATACGTATATATAATATATTATGTATACTTATATATAATATAGTATATTATATATATTTATATATAATATATATTATATTATATAGAATTATATAGAATTACATATTATATTATATAATTATATATATTCATATATATTATATTATATATAATAATACATATTATATTATACATAATATTATATATAATATAAGGATGCAGGATGTAAAAGGAAATTATATATATGTTATATATATTATATATATTATATTGTATATAATTATATATATATATATTTGTGGGTGCCCTATTTCCCATCTCATAACTTATTTTAAGAAGCCAGCATAATAATGTGTGGGCTTGGGATTCAGTTTTTGAAAGAAAACACTGAGCCTTTGATGACCTTCCTGTACTTGTAAAAGCCCTCCTGTCTGCACGGCAGCAGTTGGACCTCACAGTGTGGATTGTGCCTTCACCCTGGAATGTTTATGCCCTATCGCCATGGTGATGGGATTAGGGATCTCCTGCCCTTGCTCCTAAGTGCCAGTATCTGTGCTGAGTTTTTCAAAGGTCAGAGCAGATTGAACCATTGTGGTTTCATTTTCCCTGATTCTGATTTTTCTTATGGGGAACCTGTGTGGCTGCATTCAAGGTATGTTCATACTGGCCTGTCAAATGCGATCTTTTCAAATTACTAGTTAATGCTTTCAAAATATGTTATTTAAAAAATTAGCCTCTGTATTTTCCATATGCAGTTATAAATATGTTTCATGATTATGTTTTATTCCTCAATTTATATATTTGATTATTGTACCAAGCAGAGTAACTTTGAAATTTTTCTTCATTTAAAAAATATGTATCTTGACTCAGGCCTGTAATCCCAGCACTTTGGGAGGCCAAGGCAAGAGGATCACAAGGAGAGGAGATCAAGACCATCCTGGCCAATACAGTGAAACCCTGTCTCTACTACAAATACAAACAATTAGCCAGGCATGGTGGCAGCTGGTGTAGTCCCAGTGTGAATTGGGATTCAGTTTATTCCCAAATTCCCAAATTATATATATATATAATATATTAAATATATTATATATATACTATATATTATATTATATATAATTATATATATATATATTTGTGGGTGCCCTACTTCCCATCTCACAACTTATTTTAAGAAGCCAGCATAATAATGTGTGGGCTTGGGATTCAGTTTTTGAAACAAAACACTGAGCCTTTGATGACCTTCCTGTACTTGTAAAAGCCCACCTGTCTGCATGGCAGCAGTTGGACCTCACAGTGTGGATTGTGCCTTCACCCTGGAATGTTTATGCCCTATCGCCATGGTGATGGGATTAGGGATCTCCTGCCCTTGGTCGTAAGTGCCACTACCTGTGCTGAGTTTTTCAAAGGTCAGAGCAGATTGAACCATTGTGGTTTCATTTTCCCTGATTTTGATTTTTCTTATGGGGAACCTGTGTGGCTGCATTCAAGGTATGTTCATACTGGCCTGTCAAATGCGATCTTTTCAAATTACTAGTTAATGCTTTCAAAATATGTTATTTAAAAAATTAGCCTCTGTATTTTCCATATGCAGTTATAAATATGTTTCATGATTATGTTTTATTCCTCAATTTATATATTTGATTATTGTACCAAGCAGAGTATCTTTCAAATTTTTCTTCATTTAAAAAATATGTATCTTGACTCAGGCCTATAATCCCAGCACTTTGGGAGGCCAAGGCAAGAGGATCACAAGGTGAGGAGATCAAGACCATCCTGGCCAATACAGTGAAACCCTGTCTCTACTACAAATACAAAAAATTAGCCAGGCATGGTGGCAGCTGGTGTAGTCCCAGTGTGAATTGGGATTCAGTTTATTCCCAAATTCCCAAATTATATATATATATTATATATATATATATAAAAAATATATATATATATAAAATATATATATAATGTATTTAATATATTATATATAATATATTATATATATTATATATAATATATTATATATATAATATATATAATATATTAAATATAATATATAATATATATAATATATTATATATATTATAGATAATATATATTATATTATATATAATATATATTATACATTATATAATTATATATTATGTATATAATATATAATATATAATATATATTATATAATTATATATTATGTACATTATATATTATTTATATATATTATATATAACATATAATATATATAATAAATAATATATATATTATATATATCATATAATATATAATATATATAATATATATATAATTTCCTTTTACATCCTGCATCCTTCAACGTTCCATTCCCCACCCCACAGATTAAGTTATTCCCCAGGGGAGAATATGGCAGAGTCTATTTTAATGCTGTTTTTAACCCAATTAAGAACCTATGAAATCATTACTTTCCAAAACTTTGGAACAAAGCCACAGTAGTAAGGATCCGTTGGAGGCTTTTCACACAATAAAATGTAACTCTCTTTGTTTTTAACATGTTTTTCCCTTCCTCTCTTCTTTTTTTGTGAAATGTGTATTTACTTTAATATATTTGTAGTAAGTCACTTCCATGCACATATTAATTTTTTAAAGTAATAAGCATGTGTATTGTCTACGTGTGAAAGAAAACACACATTTATTTTTATGCTTTGGAAGTTATCCAGAATCATGGAATTGTCAATCACAGTCAATCACCCAACCTACTCACCTTTCCAGTGTAATCTTAGTCAAATTTTTTTTTTTGTTATCCAATGAGATGCAGTATTTCAACTCAGAAAGATAAATAGAGTGAATTTATAGAGACTATTAACTAAGAACATACAGTTTGATTTATACTCAGAAGCAAGTAGATTATGTACATATATATGAAGATAAAAATTAAAAGGATAATTGTGTAAATTTGCATGTAGAGGGCTTTGAAAACCTGTTTACTTGTGAATGCTGTTTTGATGTATTGTGTCTTTGTTCTCCCGACCCATCATCCAGAGCTCTCTGCAGGAGCTAAGTGCTCATCAGTTCCATGACTTGGAAACTGTCTAAGTTTAGAGGCACTTGTATTTGTTAGTAAATAAGGCAAGATGATATTGTTTCACAGGTTTTAGTGCCGAAGACTGAATAGATAAGCTGCTCCACCCAGTACACTGGTGTTCATTTCATGGTCATCTCATCTGTTAACCATGGATATAAAACATTTATCTTCAATGATGGGGTTTTACCATGTTGGTCAGGCTGGTCTCGAACTCCTGACCTCAAATGATCCACCCACCTCCACCTTCCAAACTGCTGGGATTACAGGTGTGAGCCACTATGCCTGACTGATTATTTTCATAACCAAGAAAAGAAATAAATACAATTAATGCTGGTGCATGGTATTAAATCTAGTTTTTAAAAAATTCACACATAAACAGGGCAGAACCCTATACCCTCCATGATAAATGCAGTAGCAGTGTATGTGGGTCTGTGGAGGTTGAAAGGGACTTGGTCGATGTCAAGAAGGTAGTGGCAGTCCTGCTGGGCTTTTAAAGGGTCTGAAGAAGTGACAGGATGCTGTGGTTGAATCGTAGCATGTGTTTTAGCATTTGTTCATTTGGAGTTGATTATTTCACGTTGCTTTCATTTGCCATTACCTGGAAAGCCAAGGGCTCTACTCTCATTTCCTTGCTGCTCTTTCTTTGCCTTCCTTGGTCCGTGAAGAAGATGGTCCAGGAGAAGCTCATTCCATGCTTGTTAACCAGGCACGCCCCTAAGTTCCAGTCCCTGAGTCATTCATGAGTAGCACTGCCAATGAACTGACAGCCATGCTGTGTCCCTCCACATCCCCTAGGTGACTCGAAGAAGCCTTCCAAAAAGCGTGTGAAAAGGAAGCCCTACTCTACTACCAAGGTAAAGTAGCCTGTCTTTGCCTAAGATGTAAATGTTGTTTTCTTGGATCCTTTATTTTTCAGTTGATATCAGCTATGGGAAAATTCTCCACTACATTATAGGTGTTAGATAATATTTCCTTGGGGATGGAGGAGGTGTATTTTACCAACTGACACCTGATTCCAGAGGACGTGCAAAATTGGCAGTGTCAGATAGTACACTGGGTGTTAAGGGATGTTTTCTTCAGGAACAAGCTTTCCACTTTAGATAAGAATTCTGCAATTGCTACTCAAAAATTACCTAGACAGAAACATTCTTCAAGAAAAGCTCCTGTGCTTTCCTAAGGGAACTCTACTCTAGAGTTGGGGCTTTTGACTTGAACCTTATTTCCAATCTTGGTTACCCAGAGTTTCCAAGTGAACAAAAGACCTGTGTGAGCCATCCATAGCATAGCCTGATTCTCAGAGTGTTTTCCTTCTCTAATTACAGGTGACTTCAGGGAGCACATTCAATGGTACGTATTCTGGAATCACTCACTGGTTGTTAGAAAAGGATTCTACAGGAAATCTGGAGCTTAACTGCTGGCTTTTGTCCGGAGAGCCTCCATGATCCAAGACATCTGGTGGGAATGAGGATGTAGGGTATAGTAAAAGAAACTGGTTTTCCTGGTGACATACTCTTTTTATCTATGTATAGTTTCTGGGAACATGTTCACATTAGGTTGTGTGTGGGTATGTGTGTATTAGGGCGGGGGTGGGGTGAGGTGGTCTGTGTGCAAGTCTGCATGATTTGCTTGTGAATGTGTGTCTATCTGTGTTTCCCCCAGGAAAAAAATGTTGTGTTTACCCAGCACAACTCTCAGTGCCATTTTTCTTAATTTAACAAATCAGACCACATACTTTACTTACATTAGTTCACACCTCATCATCATCATGCCCATATGTTGTGAGCTTGTTTATTGAGCCCACATGCCAGATGGAGAAACTAAGCCACATAAATAAATGTGCTCTGGTTCACTTGCTGCATAGTGAAGAGTCAAAATGTTTCCTCATACGGTGCTAATGTTGAAGGCCTGAACTACAACCTCTATTTATCAGCCAGTGAAGAGATCACTATTCACCATGCAAGGGAGTTCCAGCACCCTCTATGCCTGGAATTACCCACGCCTGCAGAGATCCCAAACGCCATCCCTCACATAAGACAGCCTCATGATCTCATAATCCAGGTAGCTATGTAGACATCTTCCTGCAGGTGTCACATAGTCCTTAGTGTGAAACCAACATAGAAAGCCCATGTTTCTGATCAAATCACAGGTTCTGAAACACTAAGGGAGGCACTAAGTAGGACAACGTGGTGCCTGCGTGTCATAGCTGGGTCTCCTCAAGACATGGATCAAGTCCAGTAAGAATTGGGGAGATGCTTTAGAGTCTTGATGGAGTTATCACCACAAGCCCTCTGAGCTACACACTTTAGGGATCATGACCATTAAGTACTCAAATTACCATTTGGTTGTTATCCGGGTATCCGTCGTCCTTGTGGCAACCCTCTTGTGAAGCTGGTGTGGACAGCCTCAGTGCTGGAGCTGTGCCTCCCTTCTGAGTGGACCCTTTCTGTGTTAGCAGGTGGGTACAAGCGTGGGGGTCAGCACACTCAGTGGATTTACACACACAGCGTTGAAGAGTAAGGCTGGGCTTCATTATTTATACATTTTCAATAAATGATGATCTTCATAACATAAAATCAATGATGTAGTACACTAGAATACTGTCCCTAGTATTGAATCTTGTCTCTCAGCAAAGGGTTGCTTAAAGTCACGTGACAGATTCCATTCAACTGATGACACATGCTGTAGCAGCAGTTAAAGCAGTCATTTGAAAAGGCTTTTACTATAAACTTATGTGTGAGCCTGAAGTGGGGGATAAAAGAGGCGATTAGCTCCCCTGTGCCATGTTTCTATTATGTGCGTGGTGGAGGAAAATTACACAGGAAGGTGATGGAGAGAACAGAGCAAAGGATTGGACAGGTCCATTGAACCCATAAGACTATGGTGAGGTTAGTGAATGAGATTGGTCATTTTAGGTCAAATTTTACCCAGAGCTGGTGCAGCCACTGCCCATTCTTAGCCAGACCTTATTGCAGGCAGCTCTGATCAATAGTCAAGGAGGCAGTGGGGCTTGCAGACTTAATTCATTAAATCACCAAAGCACCAGCCCACACGGCCACTTTTCCAGTTAATTGACAGTAGCTTGCATATTCAGGTTTGATCAGTGGAAGGGAAGTTACTCTTTGCAGACCCATTTTTGACAATCATTTTGCGGTGTCAGAAGGTGTGAGCAGCCTCGGGAGGCAAGCAGTCCCTGGTCCCTCAGTGTAGTCACTGGAGGAGACAGTCACTGAGAGGCAGCTGGCAGGGTGAAGGGCAAGGGGAGGCAGGCCACAGAGATGACAGCCTTTAAGCTGTCATACTGGGAGGTCAAGGATCTGAAAGAGGAAGGAGAATTCTTTATCATTAAGGACCTGTCCTTATCTCAGGCATTTCCTCCAGAGCACCACCTTTGTCCACCCACACACCTTGGGCTAGGAGGACTGGAGAAAGACAGTGAGGGGTCTCTTGGGTCTGTGGCACAGGGCGTGATGAAGAGGTGGCAGTTTTTCAGGAATCTCTCTCTCTAGGGAACCAAATACATTTCCCATCTCAGGTCCTTCACTCAGCGGGGTTGAGGTTCTGCTCGTCACTTATCATCTCTGAATGTCAGCACCCTCAAGTGTAAAATCTCAGCCACAGCCCCTCCTCTGCACCCCCTGCAGGGCTGATGTTCTCCATAAACCATAAGGCGTCATGCCCACGGAAAAGCCGAACAGGAAAGCATGCTCCACTGCCCCGGAGCCATCCAAGTTCCCCCTCCATATTCCGCCACTGCTAAGTGTCCAGCTTATTCCTCCTGGCATGTAGTAAACACTTAGAGAACATTACTGAAGTACCAGTCCTCTCTAAGGTTTTCCTGTATTTAGTGATTTTTTAGCCCTGTACTGTGATACTAAGAAGTAGGGCTTAAATAGGGCCTAAAAAGTATTGCTAAAATTACATTATGACAGTGCAGAGAACTGAGGGCAGAGGGAGGACATGAGCTTGCCAGGTCCACATGGCTTAGTGGAATTTGAATCCGGGCCCCCACTCTGCACCAGCCCTGCACTCACAGTCATCCGGCTGTGTTCCCCTCTCCAGGAAGGCACTGCCCACGCAGTCTGTCTGATAGAGGTGTTGAGTGCTCACTGAACTCCGTGATCTTCCTGAAACCCAACTTTGATTCAGTGGGCTCTGCTTGGAAGCCTGTAAAAAAAGGATCATAAGTTTAAACTTAGAACAGATTATCACTATTTTCCCTCTGGTCTTCTGTCAGCAAGATGTCAACAGCCCTATCTATTGTCAATGCATTAACCAGCATCTTCTCTGATAGAGAATACAAGAAGATATGCTGTGCACACCAACCAGTGTAGGAGACCTCATGGCTCCCGGGTAAAGAAGAAGAGGTACCCACAAGAAGGTACTGTGGAAGTTCATTAATTAAGTTGATTCAAGAATTGCAGTTGCGGGGAGTATTCAGTGTCCCATATGTAAGAGGAAACTATGAAGAGACTAAGCCATATTTTTTAATGTGTCAGGATTCTAATTTGCCTGGTCAGTAAATATTGCTACCACCACAAAAGTAAATATCTACTTAAAAGTCAATTTTGGTTCATGTTTAATGATAGACAATGCTTCAAGCTAATGTCTAGAACTTACCTGGTTGTTAAACATAAGCATAGATCTCCCTGAAAGAGTGGTGCTATATTATTATTTTTCAATTAATATATTTCTTTAGAGAGTTTTAAATTGACATAAAAACTGAGCATATGGCCGTGTGTGGTGGCTCACACTTATAATCCCAGCACTTTAGGAGGCCAAGGCAGGCGGATCATCTGAGGTCAGGAGTTGGAGACCAGCCTGGCCAACATGGTGAAACCCCATCTCTACTAAAAATCCAAAAAAATTAGCCGGGTGTGGTGGCAGGCGCCTGTAATCCCAGCTACTCAGAAGGCTGAGGCAGGAGAATCGCTTGAACCCGGGAGGCAGAGGTTGCAGTGAGCCAAGATCATGCCATTGCACTCCAGCCTGGGTGACAAGAGTGAAACTCCATCTCAAAATAAATAAATAAATAAATAAATAAATAAATAAATAAAAATTGAGTATATAATACACGAAGTTCCCATATTATTCTGTCTCCTCACCCTCACTTCCTAATTTCACCTATTAGTAACATCTTACATTACTGTGGTACATTTGCTAGAATAATGAGAAAATATTGACACATTATTATCTGAAGTCTGCATTTGCATAATGTTCATTCTTTCTGTTATACATATATATGAATTTTGAAATATTTAAAACATTATGTTCACCCTTATGGTCTCATAAAGAAAATGTTCACTTCCCTAAAAATCCTCTCTTCTCATTAATCTCTGTCCTCTTTCTCCAGAAACCTTGGCAACTATTAATATTTTTACTATCGCTTCAGCTTTGCCTTTTCCAGAATGTCATATAGTTGGAATCATATATTATGTAGTTTTTTCAGATGAATTTATTGCACTAAATTGATGTACGCTTTAGCTGCTTTCATGTCTTTTTTATGCCTTAATGGCAAAAAATGGCACATTAAATCACCAAATAATATTGCATTAAATGAATTTTTGTCTTTTTATTCACCTGTTGAAGAATTCGGTAGATTTCATGAGAGAAACCATCTGGGCCTGGTGCTTTCTTTTTCGGAATGCTCTTAATGTGAATTCAACTTATTTAATAGACATAAGTTTATTCAAATTAGGATCCTAGCATGACCTTGGGAAGATTGCCTTTCAAGGAATTGATACATTTCACTGAGGTTATCAAACTGCGCTCATAGAACTGTTCATGATATTCCTTTTAATGCCTAACAGTTCAGTAGAGATGGCTCCTCTTTTATTTCTGAAATTGGTCATTTGTGTTATCTTCTTTTTCTTGGTTAGCCTGCATATCAATTCATTCATTGTAATGAGCATATCAAAGAACCAGCTTTTGGTTTTATTGATTTTCTGATGATTTCAGTGTTTTAATTTTATTGATTTCTGTGATGTTGTTTATTACTTTTACTTGCTTTCCATTGCATTCCTCTATTTTCTATAGTTCCCTAATTGAAACATGATATTACTGATTTTAGGTCTTGTGATTTTTAGTATATTGCATCCAATGCTATAGATTTCCCTCTAAGGACTGCTTTTGCTACATCCAGAAATCTTGCCAAGTCACATTTTCTTTTAATGTAGTTAAAAGTACTTTTAATTTTCTATTGAGACTTCTTCTTTAACCCAACAGTTATTTAAAAGTGCATTGCTAATTTGCAAATATTTGGGGATTTTGTGGCTCTTTTACAGTTGTTGATTTTTTGTTGTCAGGTGTGTGTTGCAAAAGCAGTCGTCTACCTCATCTTGCCACCACCCAAGATGGCCCAGGATGTGGGCTCTCCCTGAGTGAATCTTTGGCAATCTGCCAACCTGATGTGTTCGGCCTCCTTCTTTAGTCTGAGCTTGCCTTCTGCTTAGAAAGGGCCATTCTCAGTTCTGGCAGGGAGTTTTCCCAACATTGAGAAGGTGGCATTCTTACTCCCCACTGCAGCCTGCACCTCTGACCGGTGGTCAGCAGACAGGACAGAGGTCCTCATTAGACAGAGTTCAGCAGGGTCTCTGACCAAAGTGCATCTTCAGAGTCTGCACCTACCCACTGTGACCACGGGCAGGCTCTGAGTCCTAAAGCAGGAGGAACTGTGCGACCATCCTGATTGGAAATTTGTGAGGATCACCGTGTTACTCAAGTAAGGTCTTTGGAAAGTGTCGTATTACTACTGTTTGTGAACTGCTTGTTGGTGGCCTGGCTGAGCCACACACTTTATGAAAACCAGGACCCCTCAGCTGGTGTGGGTGTCTATGCAGCCTGAGACCCTCATGTGAACAGCCTCGTGGCAGCTGTCTTTGCCCCTTGCCACCATCAGTGCCTCCTTGTTCCTGGGCACTGCTTTCTCTGATGGTGCTCCATTGTTTTCCTGCACCTCAGTGTCTACAGCTGGATGTCTCTTCCGCAATCTAGGCGAGGGGGCATCAATGGCAGTTCTGCTGTGGCACTGCCCTCCTTCTTAGCTTGTCTTGCTCTGTCTTAGGCTCCCTCAAAGATCCCACCCTTCAGGTTCTTCCACAAGTTTCTTATTGAAATCCGAGCAGAAAACTATGACCAATATGACCAATCCTATACCCACTGAAGACATGAATGAAGAATTAAAACAATTCTCCATGGACTCTACCATATAGATCCCTAGAAGTAATTTCTAAAAAAAAAAAAATCAAGGAAAATGTAATAGTTTTCCATAAATTAGAATACCCTACATGTACAATTAAATGAAATGGCTACTATAGTCTTGAAACCAAAACCAGATAAGGTAAATTAAATTCTGTGATATTTTAAAATACTTTAAATTCTGACTAATGTGAGTTAATCTCAACATATGAAATAGTAGATTAACATTGAAAATGCAATAAATAAAATTAGCTACCTCAAGAGTTTAATGGAAAAAAATGTGATTATTGCAATAGATTCAGGAAATTCATGAATAACATTCACCCTATATTTGTAGGACAACTATCTGATTAACTTTAAGTGACCTGTGACAACCACTTGAATTAATGCTGCTTTCACAGCATATCTCTTGGCTTGTTAAAAACCCGACAAGAATTTCCGTAACATTATTTTTAACACCTATATTGGGTGTGAACCCACCATAAAGTTTGCCCACTGAAAAGGTCTAGAATTTGATGCTTTATTAAATTGATACTGTGTGCACCCAACACCACGATCTAATTTAAATATGTTTCCCTCACCCAAGTTCTCTCTTGCGCACTGGCAGTTAATCCCCACTCCCATCTCCAGCCCTAAGCAATACTGCTGTGACATTCCATCTCCATAAATTTCCCACTTGCTTTATAGAAATGGACATATATATATATTTGGAATCTGACTTCCCTCATTTAGCATACTATGTTTGAAGTTAATTGACGTGTTAGCACGTGCTGGTCATGTGTTTTCCTTCATAGTCTGCTGTGTTTATTCATACAGATAGTGTTTATTCATTTATCAGTTAATGGACATTTAATTGTTTTGTTATTTTCTTTGATGAGTAATGTAGCTTTGAGCATTCATATACAGTCATGTAATGCATAATGACATTTTGGTCAAAAAAAATTTTTTTTTTTCTGAGACCCAGGCTGGAGTGCAGTGGCACAATCTCGGCTCACTGGAACCTCCATCTCCCAGGTTTAAGCAATTCTCGTGCCTCAACCTCCCGAGTAGCTGGGACAACTGGCACACACCACCACACCTGGATAATTTTTGTATTTTCAGTAGAGACAGGATTTTGCTGTGTTGGTCAGGCTAGTCTCAAACTCCTAGCCTCAGGTGATCCACCCACCTCTGCCTCCCAAAGTGCTGGGATTATAGGCATGAGCCACCACACCCAGCCTAATTTTTTTAAGAAAGAAGGGAACTATTTTCTAAATTACTTTTGCCAATTTATATTCCTACCATGATGCATAGCACTAATTTCACCGTACAATGTATGGTAGGCCCCAATATGTAAGAAATGATGAAAGTAACACATAAAGATTAGTATAAGACAAATGAGATTATCGTTGTTGCTATCATCTTTGTCAAATTCTGAAAACAATCTGAGTATATTTTTATATAAATATGCTTGGCAACATAGCTGAAAAAAGCATTATCAGTTACATTTATCAGTAACAAAGACATAAATTTGAAGGGGGAAAAACACTTGTACTAACAATGCAATGTCAGAATTAACATAAAAATTCTGCTGGTCACTTTGGAATATTTAATTGCCTGGGGCAGTGTTTAGTAGACAAATGAGCATCTATGGAGCACCCAAAGTAGGGGAATCAACAGAACTTGGGTTTCAAAAGTTATCTGGGTTTAGAGCGTGAAACTTTGTTAGAGGACACACACCTTGCATGAGTGAGGTGCCTTGGTGTGTGTGGACGTATCATTATGCTTGGAGGTACAGCATAATGGTGGCTTCCTCCAGAAAGGGACATTTGGGGTAGATTCATGCCATCTAGACAACACAGCCTGATGTGGCATGGACATGAATGGAGGTGAAATGGTCAGTAGTTGAGAGGATCAGTCCTGACAAGGGCCGAGGTGAAAAACCTGGGAACCCCTTCAGGTGCAAAGTCTTCAGTTGAAAAAGGAGGTGGTCACAGGAAATACTGAGATGGGTCAGCAATGCATGGGAGACAGAGTTCTTGGCCCTGCAGGGTGAGTAGTGTGGATTCTCAAGTTTTCTCCTCTCTCCATTAATTTCTTTCCCAATGCAGATGACTTCCATCATACAGTCTTCAGCAACCTTGAAAGATTGGACAAGCTTCAGCCCACTCTTGAAGGTAAAGGAAGGCAGCTAACAAGACTGGCATCTGGGCTTGGCTGTGCATGTTTTCTATCGTGGGGAAATATATATAACACATTATTTATCATTTGAACCTTTTAACCAAAGTGTGCACTCCGTGGCATTCAATATATTCACAGGGTTGCATAACCAACACCACTATCTACACCCACAATTTTGATGATTTCTTACAAAACCTTGTCCACAATAAGCAATATAGCGCCTTCCCCCTATTTCCAGCCCATGGTGATTCCTATCCGACTTTCTCTTGTATGAATTTGACTATTCTAGGCACTTCATGTAATTACAATTATACAATATATTCCTTTTGTGTCTGGCTTATTTCACTAAGCATAATGTTCTCAATGTCCACCCATGTTGTATCATCTATCAAAATGATGTTCGTTTTTTACAGATGGATGATGTAGCATTGCATGCAGACCACCTTGCTTTTATTACATTCATTTGTTCACTGATGGTTGGATTATTTCCACCTTTTGGCTCCTGTGAAAAGTGATGCTACAAACATTAGTATACAAACATCTGTTTGATTTCTGTTCTCTATTCTTTGGGGTGCCTAAGAGTAGAGTTCCTGGGTCCAACAGGGGTTCTATATTTAACCTTCTGAGCCACTGCAGACTGTTTTTCACAGTGGCTGCAACTTTATCCATTTCTACCATCAATGTATCAGGGTTACAATTTCTTTACATCCTTGTTCACACTTATTTTCCTTTAAATCATCCTAGTAGGTGTATATTGGTGGCTGCTTGTGTTTTTCATTTGCATTTCCCTAATGACTAATGATCCTGAGCAGCTTTTCCTGTGCTACTATTTGTGGCTATATCTTCTTTAGGGAAATATATGTTGAAGTCTTTTGCCCATTTTTAAAGAGTTGTCTGATTTTTATTTAGTTAGTTTGTTGCTGTAGATTTTTGAATATATCTTAAATATATTTAAAAATATTCTAAATTTTAGTCTCTTACAAGATAAATGATTTGCAAATATTTCCCCCTTTGTGTAGAACTTTAGATTCACAAACTTCATTAATTTGTATGAAATCCTCAGCAGTTGACCCCAAACAGATAAGACTGAAGCAGTATTTTAGGAATAGTTGAAAGTATGATCACCACAAAACATAAGCGTAATCAAATCCTGCAAGCTACATGTAAGGCACAATGACAAATAAGGCAGCAAAGGGCCATCTGGTGATTAGTTCACCACACTTGTTGCAACTGTTTGCGCTGCAGAGTTAAAACATACCAGCATTCAACCCATGTCTCCTGTCTTGAAGTAAACTGTCGTATGTTGGCTGGCCTGAACAAGCGTAGATATTCTCCATCCTCAATTAATATGCATGCATGACAAAGAAAAGGAGGCCTGGATGAAAAAATATTGTGTGATTAATAATTATGCTTTAATTAATTTTAAAGGATATAATTTCAGTACTTCTAATTCTCCCATCAGCAGTTATAACAAAGGATTAGTGAATAAATACCATAGACTGTTTTGCCTAGAATTGAATCCAATCTGTCTATTAAACTTTGCTTTTATTCAAGTGCAAAATGCTAAAACACATAATAACTGCAGTGACAGCCACTGTGGATCCTCAGAGGTAAAAGTAGTCTTGGGACATAAATCCTGCAAGTAATATTGTTTTTACAGGTTTAGAAAACCATTTAGCTGGGTTTCAAACCTCACAGTGTGAGCAGTGGGACTCTCATCAAACTATAGCATGTGCTTCAGTACCATTTGTAGACTGACTCATTCCCATTGCCTTAAGTTGCCATCAGCAAAATGCCAGGGACTCTATTTCTTGCTCCTTAGCTCCTCGTTCTTGCCTGTCTTTCCACGAGGGAGGATTTTCTAGCAGGAGCTCAAGCTGTGCTTTTAATGAAACACATCCACACACACTGTCCTGTTGTCCACATTAAGCAGAGCTCCCTGAATAGCTCATGAACAAAAGCATCTATGACTAACTGTTGCTCTGTGTCCTCCTAGCCTCTGAGGAGTCTCTAGTTCACAAGGACAGAGGAGATGGAGAGAGGCCAGTCAACGTGAAGGTAAGGTTGCCTTGCTTTCTCTGAAATAGAAATGTTCCTTTCTTGTTGTCTTTCTTTTTCAACTGACTTTACATGTGAAAAGATGACAATGTCCATGACAGGTATTAAATGCAGTTTTCTGAGGGGGAGGAAGAAGTGACTCTTAGCAACTGATATGTAATCCAAAATGGCATTTAGCTATGATGGCTTCAGGTTGTAGACTGTATCCTTGGGGTCCTTGTCCTTGGAAGCAATGTCTTCTCCTTGGATTCAGTATTTTGCACTTGCCAACCTACGTGGACCTGAGAGATCCGCCATCCAGAAGCTGATGTCTTTTCCAGTGTGTATCCTACCCTTGTTTTGGAGGCCTTGAAGTTGACTACACTTTCTGATCAAGTTTTCAATATTCATTGAGAGAAACACAGCCTTGTGCAAACAATCCACAACATGACATACCCCTCAAAAAGCTTTGTTTCTGTATTGCAGGTGGTGCAGGTGGCCCCTCTGAGGCGTGAATCTAGTAAGTATTCTGGAATCACTTACCAAGAAAACAATCTGGATGCCAAGAAAGGTGTGGCATCCTTGCCTGGTTTCAATGTGAAGAGCCACCCTGATCCTGGGATTGTGATAGGAATAAGTATAGGGGAAGTGTTTTTTTAAAACCTGAATTCCCCAGGGAAAAATTATGGCCAAATTTTGAGGAAGCAGCTGTGCTCCCTTTTGGGTGGTGCTGAGTTGGGTGCTTGAGGATTGGTGGTGTCTTGTGTGAGGCTGCATCGTGTGGTGTGAATGTGTGTGTTTCTGTACAGGTGAGGCTGTGTGTTTTCTCAGGAGAGATTTCCCATTTATACAACCCAATCACCAGTGTCCACTTCTAACAATAAAATCCACCCCCGCTCTACTCTCTCTGTACAGTGACTCCTCCACCCTCACCAGAGCCATCCCCGGGTCTGCCTTATTATCCCCACTGCTCAGGTGGAGAACCTGAAGGGCCAAGGGAGTGGCCCCAGCTCCCGAGTTCCTGAATGAAAAAGTGAAAACACGAACCCAGGAGTGTGGGCCAGTGCTGACGCTGACATGCACTTAGTCATGGGGTGTTCACCACCACACAGGGAGTCCAGCATTCATGTATAAACCCTAAGGCACCGAGCCCAAAAGGCCCCAGACACTGCCCATCATCATAAAGTGGCCTCCGTGGTCACACAACCCAGGGCAGTTATGGGTTCATCTCCCCACGGACAGGCATAGTCATCAGTGTGTCAAAAGCACAAAGATCCCCAGGTGTTTGGCTCAGCTCACCGATCCTTTTTTTTTTTTTATTTAACTTTTCAGTTCAGGGGTACATGTGCAGGATGTGCAGGTTTGCTACATATATAAATGTGTGTCATGAGAGTTTGTTGTACAGATTATTGCATCACCCATATATTGAGCCTAATATCAGTTATTTTTCCTGATCCACCCCCTCCTCCCACCTCCCACCCTCCAGTAGGCCCCACGCTCACAAATTCTAAGAGGAGTGGGGGACCACAAAGGCCAGTGTGGCCCACTTCAGTTGTGAAGTTAATTTGCTCAGCAACTGGCCAAAGTCTATAAGGATGGGTGATGTATTTTAGTAGATTTAGTAATACTATCTTCCCAAGCCCTAAAATGCTCAAATCCTGCCAGCCAAAAATGGTGAGGAGGGACAGATAGGAACTCTGTGTGGCACTTGGTTATTAGCCTGGCTTCCATCCCTTAGTGGCAACTCTCTTGTATATGTGGGTTAAAGACCCTCAGCCTCAAGCCAAGCCTCCTCCATGAGGAGCCATCTCACTATTGACTGGCTAGTGCCGGGTATGGCCACCAGCCCAACTGAAACAAAATGTTGCTTTAAAACAAGTGTAAATCTCATACATACAACAGGCAAATGCAGAAGCAGTGTGGTCTCGCAAGTTGTAAAGAGGACAGTCGCAATTTTGCTGGACTTCAACCTGGGTAGAAGACACGAGGGAACTCTGTCACTAAATCACGGCAGAGTTCAAGGCTATTTCGTGTTATAGAAGGTGGCCTTTAGCTACTAGGCAAAGGCCTCTGTTTCTCATTTCTTTCCTGTTCATCTCCTTGGTCATCCTTCTTCCGCAAGGGAAACGAGCCCAAGCAAAAGGCAGTTTCAATATTAATTTGACCGAGGTTTTGTGCAGTTAATTATCATCCAGGTAATCAGGTGCAACCCAGTCTGCCTAGCAGCCCCCCTATCTCTGCTCTGTGTTTTCATTTAATGAACATTTTGGTCTACTTACTATGTGCTAGATTTTCTCGAGACCAAGTAAATGAGATAGAATCTTTATGTTGGCAGCTAAGTTAGATTTCGCATAACTGACAAAAATTAAAATTTCTGATTTCTTGTAAAAATATTTTGTATGTGTGAATGCATACTGAATGTAAAGTGGATAAAAAACTCACACTTGCACTCATGGAAGGCTTTTCATGAATTTGTCAATTTTTATTTTTTATATTTCCCCACTTCACTGGATAATGCATACCTGAACCTGGAAACTGATGCCCACTGCAGAAAGTGTTCTGAGCCACATCCCTTAGCTTCACTAGTGCAGGTCCACCTGGGAGGATGTCCCAGCATCAGCTTGGCCCATGCTGTGATCAGCCACCTCCATGCACCACACCAAGCAAGCCCCTGGGTGATTCACAGTCTCCACTACCAGGGCACTGACCTTAACTCTGTGTTCTTCTAGCTCCCCATGAGGACACCGTACACAACATCACTAACGAGGATGCCTCACACGATATCACTAACGAGGACGCTGTCCACGGCATCGCTAACGAGGCCGCCGACAAGGGCATCGCCAACGAGGACGCCGCCCAGGGCATCGCCAACGAGGACGCCGCCCACGGAATCGCCAGCGAGGACGCCGCCCAGGGCATCGCCAACGAGGTCGCCGCCCAGGGCATCGCCAACGAGGACGCCGCCCAGGGCATCGCCAAGGAGGACGCCGCCCACGGCATCGCCAACGAGGATGCTGCCCACGGCATTGCTAACGAGGATGCCGTGCACGGCATCGCTAATGAGGACTCCGTATACGACATCGCTAATGAGGATGCCATATATGACATCGCTAATGACACCGTACAAGGCACACTAACGAGGACGCTGTACACGACATCGCTAATGAGGACACCATACAAGGCATTGGTAATGAGGACGTTGTATATGACATCGCTAACAAGGACACTCTACAAGCCGTCGCTAACAAGGACACTGTACACAACATCGCTAATGACGGCACCATACAAGACATCACCAATGAGGGCGCTTTATACGACATTGCTAATGGCACCGACAAGGCACGCTAACGTGGACACTGTACACGACATTGCTAATGAGGACTCCGTATACGACATCGCTAATGAGGGTGCCGTATATGACATCGCTAATGACACCGTACAAGGCACGCTAACGAGGACGCTGTACACGACATCGCTAATGAGGACACCATACAAGGCATCGGTAATGAGGACGCTGTATACGACATCGCTAACGAGGACACCATACAAGCCGTCGCTAACAAGGACACTGTACACAACATCGCTAATGATGGCACCGTACAAGACATCACCAATGAGGGCGCTTTATACGACATTGCTAATGATACCGACAAGGCACGCTATCGTGGACGCTGTACACGACATCGCTAATGAGGACTCCGTATACGACATCGCTAATGAGGGTGCCGTATATGACATCGCTAATGACACCGTACAAGGCACGCTAACGAGGACGCTGTACACGACATCGCTAATGAGGACACCATACAAGGCATCGGTAATGAGGACGCTGTATACGACATCGCTAACGAGGACACCATACAAGCCGTCACTAACAAGGACACTGTACACAACATCGCTAATGACGGCACCGTACAAGACATCACCAATGAGGGCGCTTTATACGACATTGCTAATGATACCGACAAGGCACGCTAACGTGGACGCTGTACACGACATTGCTAATGAGGACACCGTATAAGACATCGCTAGTAACTATCGCAAGAACAAAAAACCAAACACCGCATATTCTCACTCATAGGTGGGAATTGAACAATGAGATCACATGGACACAGGAAGGGGAATATCACACTCTGGGGACTCTTGTGGGGTGGGGGGGGGAGGGATAGCATCGGGAGATATACCTAATGCTAGATGATGAGTTAGTGGGTGCAGCGCACCAGCGTGGCACATGTATACATATGTAACTAACCTGCACAATGTGCACATGTACCCTAAAACTTAAAGTATATATAAAAAAAAAAAGACATCGCTAGTGAGCACGCTGTATACGACATCGCTAATGAGGACACCATACAAGGCATCGCTAACGATGACGCTGTACACAACATCACTAATGATGACACCGTATAAGACATCGCTAATTATGACGCTGTATACGACATCGCTAATGACACCGTACGAGGCACACTAACAAGGATGCTGTACACAACATCGCTAATGAGGACAGTGTATAAGCCATCGCTAATGAGGACACTGTATATGACATTGCTAACGAGGACACTGTACAAGGCATTGCTAACGAGGACGCTGTACACAACATCGCTAATGACACCATATAAGACATCACCAATGAGGATGCTGTATATGACATCGCTAATGACACCCACAAGGCATGCTAACGAGGACGCTGTAGACGACATTGCTTATAAGGACACCGTACAAGACATCACTAACGAGGACGCTGTATACGACATCGCTAATGAGGACGTTGTATATGACATCGCTAATGAGGATGCTTTACAAGACATAGCGAATGAGGTTGCTGTATATGACATCGCTAATGAGGACATTGTATATGACATCGCTAATGAGGACGCTCTATACGACATCACTAATGAGGACGCTGTATACAACATCGCTAATGAGGACGCTGTATATGGCATCGCTAATGAGGATGCTGTATACGAATTCGCTAATAAGGACGCTGTATATGACATTGCTAATGAGGACACTGTACAAGACATCTGTAAAAAAGAAGATGCTGCCAATGTAAGACACTTTTCTTTGTCTTGAACAGAAATGTTACTTTCCTGGCTTCTTTCCAATCAGATGTAGACATGAACATCTGCCAGTGTGCATTATGGATGTCATCTGCAGTTTAATCAAATGTAGACATGAACATCTGCCAATGTGGACTATTTATGACATCTGCAATTCCCTTGGTGTGGTGCTATTGATTGGCAGCCTCTCACCAACCCATGCCAGGCACACTGGGGTGTGGTAGATGGCAGCATCCACGATCCACTGCAATGCAGAGGTGTTTCCCTCCACAGCAGTTTTCCCCCATGGATTAAGAGTTGTGAAACTGCCAATCTAGATACACTTTAAAGATAAATTCTGTGGGAAAAGGTCTTGTCTTTTCCACAGGTGTCTTCCGTGCCAGTTTTGGGGGACTTTGACCTTTGACTCAATCACTATACCCCTTCTTATTTTCTCTCTCAAGTTGTCGAGAGACTATCAGATCTGTGTGACGTGTATGGCATCATTTCACCCTCCTAATGTTTTCTTTTCTATAATTGCAGGAGCCATTGACACTGGAGAATGATACCTACCCTGAAATAACTCACTTCCTGAGGAAAAAACGCCATCTCTAGGGTACAGAAACCTGATTCTGGGCTCCTTTTGGGAAGGAGGATTTGGAGTCTGGTGAGAGCAAATGATTTTGCAAGTATAAAACAATGTCCAGAGAGGCTGTAGGGATATCTGTGAGCCCAGAGGAAACACCAGGGGATCCTGTGCGAAGCACCATGGCTTCAGCTAGGGTGGGAGGAGTGGGTGGGCCTCTCTCTAATGACTTATCCTGGTGTTTGTGTTTCTAAAGATTTGATTGTGGAGAGCATATCTGATGATGGGGATTTGTAGGTAGGTAACTACTTTCCACGTAAGATCCAATTGGAGAGAGTTCCCAGGGGCCTTCGGGGTATCCATGCTGCTTGGGAGGTTAAGGGAGGGGGCATGAAATCAAAAGGAAACAGGAAATATGTGTCATATTGGATTTGGTCTTTTCCGGGTTTATTGGCATAATAGTTAGAACTGTCTCTCTGGGCTATGAGGGTGCTGTGATATTTAAAGGTGGTCTTTCCCAGAACACCTGGCCTTTTCTTTTCTGCCTCTGCCAAACATCACAGCCTTTGGGTTGGATTAGTCAGCACCCCTTGGGATTGTGCAGAAGAGGTTTGGGGTTGCATCGAGTGTCACCTGTGGTGAACAGAATCTGAGGGACACAACTCTCTCACAGGCACTTCCTTCAACCTGGAGACAGAGTTCTCCTGGTGTGTGCCCAGGGGTGGAGGAGAAATTGACAGTCTGCCTCTGAACTTTCAGGACTTTAAAAAGCACTCATGTTTCCATCCTCACTGTTGACTCCTGGCTTAAAGGGATCTCCCGGGGTGAGTGAGGAGGCGGGATTGGACCCTGGCAGTCTGACGGCAGCACCTGTGTTCCTCTGCACTGGGCCGTGGATGACATTACACACCTTGGTGAGAATCAGGAATTGAGGCTAACCACATCTGAAATTGAGATGGGCCTTGAGTCATATAAATAGTTTGGAAAAGATGCATTTTACTACGCTATTGAAAGAAACCATTTATTTCTCACTCCAGCAGGATAAATGGTTTTCAGTATCCACTTAACTGCTCATTGACTCTTACTGTAGATGAGGAGGTGGCCAGCAGCCCCTGCCCTCCCCCAGTTGTAGGCCCAAGGTAACCAGCAATTGACTGGATATAATGGAAGAGTGGTGCATTCGGAGGTATCTGTATTAATGGGACCCACATGATATGGATGAGAGCTATTAGGGTGAGAAAAAGCCTGGGAGCACAATGAAATATTTAAATATTAAACAAAACATTGTTGAAATCTCCATTGTACTTTAGTAGTTGAAGTCATTCTTGTGGTCATCACTGCCTTTCCCAAGCATAACAAGCTACTTAATATCACATGGACCCGTGCCATGAGGAATGATGATCAGTTTGTAAAATGCCAATAAAACAATTGCCTATATAAGCCACAATGTTTCATCCATATATTTCAATTTCCATGTGTAAGTATAGTTCAAATTTCAGAAATTTATTATTATCTAATAGAATATGCATGGTATATCAATGAGCAATTATCATACTGTTTCTATTAACAATTATTTGTATGATGAAAAAAGCAGACTCCCATTCTTGGATTTTTCTCAGTTTGCACACATTAGCATGACAGCCCCATTTCCACCTGACATGTGCCAGCAAGAGGCCAGGAACAGAGGCTTTTCTTATTAACTAAGATTTCTAAATGTATTACGTATTCACATTTAGAAACTCTAAATATCATAAAAGGTTAGCAAGGAAGTTTCCCTTCCACTCTGAACTTCCAAACACCAAGTCAACATTTTTGTTTGCATATCATCCCTGCAATCTATGTGCAAATAGAAGCATGCACCTGGAATGCAGGCTGATGTGTGATCGTGTTTACACAAAGTCCTCTGCACCTCTGCATATATCACTGGGCAATGCACCTTAGTTATCATTCCACATTTCAAATGTAAATCCATTGTATTGTTTCAGAGCTATAAAGTACTGCACCCCATGACTATTCCCAAAATTACTTAAGCACCCCGCTATGGGTATCCATTTGTTCTGTTTCCAGTCTTGCTCTTATAACCAATGCTGTAGTGAACAGCACTGTGTTGAGAAGCGGTGAACGTGGGCATCTTTGTCTTGTTCCCTTCCTCAGGGGGAATGCTTTCAACTCTCCCCCATTCAGGAAAATGTTGGCTGTGGGTTTGTCATAGATAGCTTTTATTACCTTAAGGTATGTCCGTTCTATGCTGATTGTGACGAACGGTTTTAATCATAAAGAAATGCTGGATTTTGTCAAAGGCTTTTTCTGCATCTATTCAGATTATCATGTGATTTTTGTTTTTAGTTTTATTGATGTGATGTATCACATTTATTGACTTGCGTATGTTAAACCATCCCTGCATCCCTAGTATGAAACCCACTTGAATCATGGTGGATTATCTTTTTGATATGCTGTTGGATTCAGTTAGCTTGGTTGTAGCATTTCTTATTATTCCATCTGTGGAATGTATTGGTTGAAATAATGAAAACATGTTCTATCCTCACTGCTTAGCACTTTGTGTTTCTTTAATAGCCTTCCCAACAGGGCAACATAAAAGCAGGAGCCCTGCTAGTCTCCCCTTAACCCGGAATCCCCCCTTCTCCACAGCTCGCTCATTGGACAGGATAGACTGGGCGCCCAGGCTTCAAGGTAAGGACGTGCTCTGTCACCTAGAGGTGCAGTGCTTGGGAAGGCCAACCTTGGAGGGTTGCCTGCCAGCTTTACAGTGACAGAGGTGTTGAGAGGGACTGACCACCAGTGCAGAAGGCTGTGCTTTGTTGGTGACATAAAGGATTGTTTCACAGATTGTTGGGGAGGGACAATCCCAAGGCCTCCCCTGGCCCTGGTGCTGGCTCTGCACAAAGGCAATAAGAGAGGGATGCTGGTAAGGGCTGACCTGTTGCTGTGCTGGGGAGGAAGGTGCTGGGCTGAAATTCAGGAGGCTGAGGATGCAGCAGTCCCATAGGAGGTACATGACCTTCAGGATACATTTTCTTCATTGATGATCAATGGAAATGAGAAATCACTGACTATTTTTTCTATCATTGGAATCTACTCTCCACTGCTCATGCTGTTCCTGTCTTTTGGGGAAGATGGAGGATCAATCAGTGTGCGCTGCACTGAGTGGAAGGAAGGAGAACTGTGACAAAAATTAAGGAAGGATGAGAGACGGGAGGGCCCTTCATCCAGCTGCTTGCAGAGTCCTCCTGAGGAGGAAAGCCCCGTGGCTCCCTGGCGAAGGAGCAGTGAGGGCTGCGTGACTCCCACAGTGAAGTGTGTGGTATGTCTGAGGACACCCAGGCTGGTGGTCCATGAGGAGCCAGTGGCAGAGTGAGAAGCAGAAAGGCCAGGAGGGTGGCTGGAGGCCAGGCTCTGAGTCATTCTCCATGTGATGGAAACAGCCGGAGCCCAGTGGACTTGGAGGTACAGGATGCGGTGGCTGATGACAGAACAATGTGGAGAGAGGCGTCATTTGTCAAATCCTTACTTTGTTCTGGGCATTGTGCTAAAAATTCTGATGGCTCATCCCATTTAGGGGCTGAAAGTTGCAGAGGTTTAGGAAGCTCACCCACGATACTGGAGCCCCCATCTCCTGCCCTAGTGCTGTCCACCTTCTCACCCAGCCACCACCTGTTTCGGGGGAACACACAGAAGTGGTAACCTCTTATGGTGAGGCAAGTAAATTCTGCTGTTTTTGTTATTCACAGAAAAACACTGGCTCGTGTGGGTTGGGAAGGTGAAATACCAGAAGTATTTCATCTGGTTATTTCTACCCATGCGACTCCTATAGTATTGAAATGCATAGGTTAGCATTTTTGGCCAATTTACTCAGCATTCTGGGTTAAAGGCTTTTATTTATTTTATTTATTTATTTATTTATTTATTTTTGAGATGGAGTTTCACTCTTGTTGCCCAAGCTGGAGTGCAATGGTGCGATCCTGGTTCATTGCAACCTCCGCCTCCCAGGTTCAAACTATTCTCCTGTCTCAGCCTCCCAAGTAGCTGAGATTATAGGCACATGCCACCACACTGGGCTAATTTTTTTGTATTTTTAGTAGAAATGAGATTTCACCATGTTGGTCAGGCTGGTTTCGAACTCCTGACCTCAGGTGATCTGCCCTCCTCGGCCTCTTAAAGTGCTGGGATTACAGGTGTGAGCCACCACGCCTGCCCTAAAGTCTTTTAAAATTCACTTGTATAAGTTGACTTAGTTTTCTTTAACCTTGTAGAAAAATACAAAAATAGCAATCTCTTTTATCACACAAATAATGTCTTTTTAATGGAGTGATTTTTTTCTAATTGAGGTATTATGTACTTTTCATTTACTAATTATTGTTTACATTTGAAGTGTTTTATGAATTAATATTTAATTGCATAGATGAAGATTACTAGTTATAGGCATTTTACTAACCAATACTCATTAAGCATAGCGTGGATTCCTATGACATCAAGGAGCTATTTTATTTGGTAAAACGAAAAAGCACAAGAATGAACGAACGCAAGAACTGAAACAGTGGAGACACCTAGAATGACTTGTCTAAGATCTAAATCATTTTGTTGTCTTCCCAGCGTACTTATTATCCTGATCATTGTCATCAGCATTGTTTGGGTCCTTTTAGCACAGATTTCTCAAAATGGGTAACTCCATAACAGTTGGAAGCTTACGAATTCATATAATTTGTAAGAGGTCAATTTGGAAGTACCTATCTATTTTAAAATTCCAATAACCTGGGAATTTCATCCCATGTCTAGAGTCTTTTATGTAAAATATTTCCACAATTAGGAGAAATATGTGCATGGGGATTTTCTATGTAGCGGTGTTTTGATGGAATAGAAAATTGGGATAAACCAAATTTCCATCACGAAGGAAATAGTAATATGCTGAATAATAATACAGCGAATATTATGCAGGCTTTAAACATCAAAAAAGAGTTCAACTTCTGACTTCCGATGATGGTGTTGAAGCAGGTCACTGCTGGTTTACATTTGATTTTCATGTGGGAACTCTGGAAGTCCGCCTTAGTGATTTTACATGTGGCTAAATTGAGCTAATGACAAGCTGTTCGAAGTATGGCAAAATGGAACTTTAAAACAGTATCTTGTCAACAACCAAGAGGACCTGTTTCACATAAAGCCCACGCATTCATCTGCCTGTCCATCATTCTGTCTGTCCACACGGGCATCATTCGTTAGTGGAACTGAGTGCCCGCTGTCGAGCTGACAAGCCCATAACCTCCCTGTTCCTAGTCACACATTAATTCTTCAACAAGTCCCTTTTGATAGATTGTGATTAAGCTTAGCTACTATTTCCAATTGCTTCCCCAAACGTACTTCTCACTGTTCTCCCATCACACCCTTCAGCCCATCCATGCGGGGTTCCTTTGCTTTTCCCACCTTACACCAAACTCCCTATTTTTACTCCCACTTTTACCTCCTCTCCAAGACAAAACAAACAAAACTAGCATTTTAAAACTTAGTTGTAATCTTTCTTCCTTCATGAAAATTTCTCCAACAGCCACTCCCACGGTCCTGTGTGTTCCGGATATTTTAAAATAATGGCTATAAGGTTGAGCACTTCAGGATACGCTGTTTTGCTGTGTGCAGATGGAGGCAGTGGCTGGAGTGAATGAACGGCAACACTTGCTGGCAACCGGCAGAAGCTGAGAGACAGGGAACAGGCTCTCCTCCAGAGCCTCCAGGAGCCAGGCCTTTGGACACCTTGAATGTGGGCTTCTGGGAGACCATGCGTTTCTGTTATAAGCAGCCCAGTCTCTGGCAGTTTTTACGGCTGCCCCGGAACACTCATCTATACCTGTCTGACAAGGTCAAGCTCCAAGGAAGGGACTCTCTACATATCTACATTGTTTGCAGATTTTACAATAATCATTTATTCTTGCATGGCTGATCATTGTTAACCAATACAAATAAAATAATAAAGAAATGACCCACATTTTATGTTGGGAGTTTGATCTGCCATTTATCAAGTATGGAATCTTGAACAAGGGGTTAAACATCTGAATGTCTCCATCACTTCATCTCTAAAGTGGGGGTGCTCACACCCACTGGGCTCCCCCGCCCAGGTTGGTGCCGGACTCTCCCTGGGCCCCCCTGTTCTCTCACCAGCCACATCCATTCTCCCCCCAGAGGCGCTAGTGACTGTGCGTGGCTTTCCATTCCCACCACGTTTGTCTCTAACCCCAGTGGCAGATCAGTGTAAGAACACAGCTGAGTGCTCCTCGCCTCCTTGCCCCTTCAAGGGCTCCTCACCACCCACCAGATCAGGTGCAAACTTCCAAGCCTTACTGGATCCCCTTCCACATTCTGAGCTCCGCCTGCCTTCCCATCGCTATCCTTCCCCACCTGCCTCCCTGGTAGAGAAAAGCGGAGTGTGTGATGCTGTCTGAATGCTGAGCACGGCCTTTTGCAGCCAGTCCACTGTGTACGCTGCCCCTATCGGAGACCTCCACCTTAAGCCTTTCCAGCCTGGAGGCTCCTCCCAGGGCCCCACAACAGAAGTGACTTCCCTTGCCTTTGAATTTCTATAGCACAAGCCCTACTGCCCCCCGTTAAAACTGCAAAGTCCTTTTGTGGAAAATAACTTTATTCATGACTGTGTTTATCACACTATCTTATGGAGAAGAGATGATCAATAAATATTTGCTGAATAAATGAATAGCAGTTACAAAACACTTGATTCATATGGAATTAATGTTGGTTCTCAAAGTGAAAAATTACAAACAGCACTGATATTCAGCCAGTATACAAGTCTGGTCACAGCAGTTGTATAATACTGAAATACCCCCCGCCACTGACCTTTGGCCCCCAGATGCCTCCCACTGCCACTGCTCTCCCCACTGGGAACCCCTGAAGTTCCCACAGGCTCATAACTAAAGGGCTAATGTCTCGCACAGCAGCGAGCACCCAGGACCGAGCAGCCACATGGCCGGGTCTGCTGGTGAAAGCATCCATTCTGACTGATCAGGACCTGAGGGGCCTCATGGTTACATATTTTGATAATATCCCTAATTATAAATAAGGCTCAGTTATATAGTTTGAAAACAATGCTTCTCCTCATTGCAAAATCTCTTAGAAGACTCCGTAGATCCAGGAACGGAAATGGAAAATGACAGCGTGTCAATCTCTGAAGGTTTTGGGCATTTCCATTAGCACTCCATCTTCATGTAAACCAGAAGATATGCAGTTTCCTGCCTAGAGAGAAGAGAAGACACATCAGCACAGCGGCATGAAACCTTCATCAGAAAACAATGCTTCATTAATCCGTGACAGGACAAGCGTCAGCAAACTTCCAGGCGGCTGGATAAGGCCTTCATCTATCCATCACCTTGGAGAGGAACAAAATAGGTGGCCTGGGAAGTTAAGCACTATGTTTCTATTCGTTAATATCTAAAGCGGAGGTTAACAAGCTATGGACACACAAGCCAAACCCAGCCCTCTTGGGGTTTTTTAAATCTACTTTCAACTTTTATTTTAGATTCAGCGGGCACATGTGCAGGTTTGTCACGTGGATATGAGCATACTCCCCAACAGTTGGCCTTTCACCCCTCCCCTCCCTCCCCATCCAGCAGTTCCCAGTTGTTGCCATCTTTAAGTCAATGAGTCCCCATGTTTAGCTCCCATTTATAAGAGAGAACATGCATTATGTTTTGTTTGGTTTTTGCTGGTTTTTTTTTTTTTTTTTTAATGGAGTCTTGCCCTGTAGCCCAGGCTAGAGTGCAGTGGCACAATCTTGGCTCACTGCAACCTCCGCCTCCCAGGTTCAAACGATTCTCCCTCCTCAGCCTCCCGAGTGGCTGGGACTACAGGCGCCCGCCACCACGCCCGGCTAACTTTTTGTATTTTTAGTAGAGACAGGGTTTCACCGTGTTAGCCAGGATGGTCTCAATCTCCTGACCTCATGATCTGCCCACCTCAGTCTCCCAAAGTGCAGGGATTACAGGCGGGAGCCACCGTGCCCAGCCTTTTGTTTATTTTTTGACGAGACCGTTCTTGCTCTGTCACCAGGCTGGAGTGCACTGGCACAATAATAGCTCACCACAGCCTCGTGCTCCTGGGCTCAACTGACCCTCCTGCCTCAGTTTTAGCTTCCTGAGTAGCTAGGACTACGGGTGTGTACCACCATGCCTAGCTATAATAATTTTTATTTTTTTGTAGAGATGGAGTCTTGCTTTGTTGCCCAGGCTGGTCTTGAACTCCTGGCTTGAAGTGATCCTCCTGCCTCGGCCTCCCAAAGTGCCGGGATTAAAGGTGGGAGATCGCACCCAGTCTCCAACCCTCTTTTTGCAAGTAAATGTAACTGGACCCCAGCCATGCTCATCTGCCCATGTACTGTCTGCGGCTGCTTTTGCTCTACAGGGCAGAGTTAAGTGGTTGCAACAGACACCGCACAGACCACAAAGTCTGAAGTACTTTCTCTCCAGCCCTTTACAGAGAAAGTCTGCCAACCTCTAATCTCAATAACAGGGAAATCAATGACAACCACAAAGTGACAAAGATTGGGTGTCTAAGATGGATGCTCAGAATAAACAAGAGAGAAAGATGAAAAGTAGAAGGAGGATTTCAAACGCAAGCTTCACCTAATCCGTTATTTTTCAAATGACCAGGCCTATCTCTGTAGCTGAAAATCACCTCAAATAGGATCTCTGATATACAGTCTCCAAAAGCTCAGCCAAGAAACTTACAAAGTCTCTCTGCCTTAACTTCATCCACCTTTTTTCTCTCCAGCTTCTCCTCGGTAGTTAATGATTATAAAAATATTTATTGGCTCATGCCTGTAATCCCAGCACTTTGAGAGGCCGAGGCGGGCAGATCACGAGGTCAGGAGATCGAGACCATCCTGGCTAACACGGTGAAATCCCGTCTCTACTAAAAATACAAAAAATTAGCCAGGCGTGGTGGCGGGCGCCTGTAATCCCAGCTACTCAGGAGGCTGAGGCAGGAGAATGGCGTGAACCCACAAGGCGGAGCTTGCAATGAGGTGAGATCCCACTACTGCACTCCAGCCTGAGCGACAGAGCAAGACTCCATCTCAAAACAAACAAACAAACAAACAACCAAAAAAACAGTGTGATGGCCAGGCGCAGTGCTCATGCCTATAATCCAAGCACTTTGGGAGGCTGAAATGGATGGATGGCTTGAGCCCAGTAGTTTGAGACAAGCCTGGCAACATAGCGAGACCTCATGTCTACAAACATCTTTAAAATATGCCAGGCATGGTGGTGCATGCCTGTAGTCCCAGCTATTCAGGAGGCTGAGGTGGGAGGATCACCTGTGCCCGGGAGTTCAAGGCTGCAGTGAGCTATGATCACACCACAGTGCTCCAGCCTGGGCAACAAAGCAAGACTCCATCTCTAAAAATAAAATAAAATTAAAAAAAAAGATCTTCGCTGTAAAAGAGGTACGCTCAAATGCAATAAAAGCATATAAGAAGGCCGGGTGTGGTGGCTCATGCCTGTAATCCCAGCACTTTGGGAGGCCGAGACGGGCGGATCACGAGGTCAGGAGATTGAGACTATCCTGGCTAACGCGGTGAAACCCCATCTCCTCTAAAAGTACAAAAAAATTAGCTGGGCTAGGTGGCAGGCGCCTGTAGTCCCAGCTACTCAGGAGGCTGAGGCAGGAGAATGGCATAAACCCGGGAGGCAGAGCTTGCAGTGAGCCTAGATCGCACCACTGCACTCCAGCCTGGGTGACAGAGTGAGACTCCGTCTCAAAAAAAAAAAAAAAGAAAAAGAAAAGAAAAGTTCTTGTGACATTTGTGTATGAAATCAGCCTTCACTACATGGATAGGACCAGCACGCTTCTGCGGCACGACTCTGCAATCTTACTACATTTTTTTTTACTTTGTATTTTATTTATTCCTTTTGAGACAGAGTCTCACTCTGTCACCCAGGCTGAAGTGCAGCCGAGATCTCGGCTCACTGCAACCTCCACCTCTTGGGTTCAAGCAATTCTCTTGTCTCAGCCTCCCAAGTAGCTGGGACTACAGGCACACGTCAAAACGCCCAGCTAATTTTTGTATTTTTAGTAGAGATGGAGTTTTGCCATATTGGTCAGGCTGGTCTCGAACTCCTGACGTCAGGTGATCGACCTGTCTTAGCCTCCCAAAGTGCTAGGATTACAGGTGTACATTTATTTATTTATTTGAGATGGAATCTTGCTCTGTATTTATTAATTTATTTAGTTGAGATGGAGTCTTGCTCCATCGCCCAGGCTAGAGTGCAGCGGTGCAATCTCGGCTCATTGCAACCTCTGCCTTCCAGGTTCAAGCGATTCTCCTGCCTCAGTGTCCCAAGTAGCTGGGATTACAGGTGCCTGCCACCACAGCTGGCTAATTTTTGTATTTTTAGTAGAGACAGTGTTTCACCATCTTGGCCAGGCTGGTCTCGGGCTCCTGACCTCATGAACCACCTGCCTCAGCCTCCCAAAATGTTGGGATTACAGGCCTAAGGCACCATGCTCGGCCATATTTATTTATTTAATTATTTAGAGACAAAGTCTTGCTCTGTCACCCAGGCTGGAGTGCAGTGGCGCCATCTCAGCTCACTGCAGCCTCCGCCTCCGAGGTTTAAGCAATTCTCATGCCTCAGACTCCTGAGTAACTGGGACTACAGATACTTGCCACCACGCAGGGATTTTTTTTTTCTATTTTTTTGTAGAGACACAGTTTCACCATGTTGGCCAGGCTGGTCTCGAACTCCTGACCTTAGGTGATCTGACAGCCTCGTCCTCTCAAAGCACTGGGATTACAGGCATGAGCCCCTTGCCCGGCCTCTCACTACGTTTAAGTGATGCCATGGCTCATGCCTGTAATCCTAGCACTTTGGGAGGCCAAGGCAGGTGGATCACCTGAGGTCAGGAGTTCGACACGAGCCTGGCCAACATGGGGAAACCCTGTCTCTAGTAAAAATACAAAAATTAGTCAGGCGTGGTGGTACAAGCCTGTAGGCCCAGCTACTTGGAAGACTGAGGCAGGAGAATCACTTTAAGCGGGAGGCAGAGGTTGCAGTGAGCCAATATCATGCCACTGCACTCCAGCTTGGGTGACAGAGTGAGATACTGTCTCAAAAAAAAAGAAAAAATAAGAGAAAAACATATGATGCCGGGGCATCTCGGCCTCAATACCTGGGTGAGCACAGTCATGTCCAGGCCAGGGCTGCTGGTTGAGGTCCGGCCCCATCTCTTCCAGCAGAAAGGGAGTAAGCTTGCAGGGCGGCTGGGGGACAAGATCCCAGGATCTCAGCCTCTGCTCATGGATCAGCTCTGAGACCCCGAGTGAGCTGGGGGTGCTCTGTGCGCGTTGGTTTCCCCAGCTGTCAAGTAAAGGGATTGGATGAGGAAGTCTTGTCAAGGTGGAATGATGTCAGATTTGGGGCAGCAGTGAATGATCCCGTTCCTTGGGCCATGCCAGTGGCCTGGCCTCGGCTCAACACAGCCCCAACACTCTGGAATGGGGATGAGGGGGCAGTCAGCTCTTGCTCCTAGTAAGAGAGATGCAACAGGGCTCTGTGGCTGAGCTGGGTGCCTTGCCTCACACCTGTAATCCCAACCTTTGAGAGGCCGAGGCAGGAGGATTGCTCGAGGCCGGGAATTTTGAGAATAGCCTGGACAACATAGCCAGACCCCATGTCTACAAAATAATAATAAAACATACAGCTATAGTCCAAGCTACTTGGCAGGCTGAGGCAGGAGGGTCCCTTGAGTCCAGGAATTGGAGGCTGCATTGAGCTATAATCGCACCACTGCACTCCAGCTTGGGTGACAAAGTGAGACCCTGTCTCTAAAAGAAAAAAAAATTGGCCTGTGAGCATGGGCTTGATTTTCAAACAGGACCCGGAGGGTAGGGTAAACGTGTGGGTAAATCTAAATGAATGTTATTGGTATAAAATTACAGTAGTATAGAAAATGATATCTTGTGGGGTTTAAAAGAAATAAAACATACTGAAATATGTATGGGTACAGTTATATATCTGGGATTTGCACGGAAATAATGTGGGGTAGAGGGAAGCAGGAAAGAGTATACATGAAATGAGCTTGGCCATAAGATTGTTGTTGAAATTGAATGGATACTCGGGGCTTCATTACACAATTCTCTTTACTCTTACATAGCTCTACACTCTCAACATAAATAAGAATAAAAACACAAAAAACACACAGATACATCTATGCACACACACATATTTAAAATACACAAAAATATTAGCATATAAGTCACTGGGGGTAAATTTAGTTCCTGTTCCAAGGTTCTTGTACTGACTAGGAAGAGGATAGAAGTACTAACTCATAGGCTGGGTGCGGTGGCTCACGCCTGTAATCCCAACACTTTAGGATGCCGAGGTAGGCAGATCTCTTAAGGTCCGGAGTTCAAGACCAGCCTGGCCAACATGGTGAAACCCTGTCTCTACTGAAAAAGAATACAAAAATTGGCCGGGCATAGTGGTGCACACCTGTGGTCCCAGCTACTCAGGTGACTGAGGCAGGAGAATTGCTTGAACCCAAGAAGTGGAGGTTGCAGTGAACCAAGATTGCTCCACTGCACTCCAGCCTGGGCAGCAGAGGAAGACTCTCTCTATCTCAACCACAACAAAAAGTACTAGCTCATGTTAGACTTTGATAAGGGAAGGATGCATGTTGTAAGCTCTAAAATAATCCAGTCATCTTTTAAAAGAACTCTAAGACTGCACAGTTATGAAACTAATAGAGAAGGAGGAAATTAAATAATAAAAATAATAAATCCAAAACAAGATGTGAGAGGAGATAAGAAGAAATAGAATAGGCATGGAAAACAAATTGGTGGTGGGTTTCAACCCAAATAAATCATTAGTTACATTTAAAAGGACAATAAAAATTAAAATAATTGAAAATAAAGTAAAACCCAACTAATGCCTTTTATATAAGGGTACAGAGAGGTGGAAGATCATGAAAAATATGTCATGCATGTACTAACCAAGAAAGCTGTATAACTTTTTTTTTTTTTTTTTTTTTTTTTTTTTGGAGATAGAGCCTCACTCTGTCTCCCAGGCTGGAGTGCAGTGATGTGATCTTGGCTTACAGCAATCTCTCCCTTCTAGGCTCAAGCGATTCTCCCACCTCAGCATCCCAAGTAGCTGGGACTACAAGTGTGCCAACTTAGAATTATACTAGCCACACCCAGCTAATTTTTGTATTTTTTGTAGAGGCAGGGTCTCGCCATGTTGCCCAGGTTGGTCTTGAACTCCTGGGCTTCAGTGATCCACCCACCTCGACCTCCAGCAAAGTGCCAAGATTACAGCCATGAGCCACCATGCCCAGCATAACTATTTTTAATGAAGTAGACTTTAAGAAGAAAAGTATTATTAGAGGTAAGGGACACATCACAGAAAAGAAGAATTTACTAGGAGCCAGGCGCAATGGCTCGTGCCTGTAATTCCAGCACTTTGTGAGGCCAAGGCGGCGGATCACCTGAGGTTGGGAGTTCAAGACCAGCCTGACCAACATGGAGAAGCCCTGTCTCTACTAAAAATACAAAAATTAGCCAAGCATGGTGGCACATGCCTGTAATCCCAGCTACTCAGGAGGCTGAGGGAGGAGAATTGCTTGGACCCAGGAAGTGGAGGTTGCGGTGAGCTGAGATTGTGCCATTGCATTCCAGCCTGGGCAACAAGAGCAAAACTCTGTCTCAAAAAAAAAAAAAAAAAGAAGTTACTAGCTAGTTTCGGTAATTCTTAACATCCAGGAAACTGGAATGTGAAAGTTTTTCAGAGAAACTAAACCAATAGATTATACATAGAGAGAGACTTATTTAGGAATTGGCTCACATGATTGTGGGGACTAGCAAGTTTTAAAATCTGTAGGGCAAGCCAGCAGGCTATAAATTCAGGTAAGAGTTGATCTCGAAGTCTGGAACCTAAAATCTGTAGAGCAGTCAGCAGGCCAGAAACTCAGGTAGGGTTTGTGTGTTACAGTCTTGAAGCAGAATTCCTGCTTCTCTGGGAAACCTCAGTTTTTGTTCTTAAGGCCTTCAACTGATTGGAGGTGGCCCACCCATATTATGGTGGGTAATCTGTTTTACTTAAAGTCAATTGACTGTCAGTGTTAATCACATCTATGAAATAACCTCCCAGCAAGATATTGACAAGTATTTGACCAAACAACAGGACACCATAGCTTAGCCAAGTTGACACATAAATTAACCATCAGGAGCAAGTAGAATATCCAAAAAACAACATACTAGGGGTATTATATCTTATATAGCTATTATAATTATATAAAACATATAATTATAGAATGACGATATTAAGATAAGCATTAGAACAAAAATATAAACTTTTCTTTCTTTTTTTTTTTTTTTTTTGAGACCAAGTCTTGCTCTGTCACCCAGGCTGGAGTGCAGTGGTGCAATCTTGGCTTACTGCAACCTTTGCCTCCTGCGTTCAAGTGATTCTCCTGTCTCAGCCTCCCAAGTATCTGGGATTACAGGCACCTGCTACCATGCCCAGCTAATTTTTGTATTTTTAGTAGAGACATGGTTTCACCATGTTGCCCAGGCTGGTCTCCAACTCCTGACCTCAAGTGAGCCACCCCCCTCGGCCTCCCAAAGTGCTGGGATTACAGGTGTGAGCCACCACACCCAGCCAAAAATCACCTTTTTTACAAGGATCAAAACAGTCATTATGCTGGAGATGACAGACCTCACTGTCACCATGCTCCTTTTGTATGTCTACTAGGCACGGTGCTGGGTCCACACTCACAGAAACCTTAGGAACTCGCACCCAGGGGCTCCGGCTGTAGCAGAATCCCAAGAATAAAACCTGGTGCTGAAAGAGTAGGAGATGAGGCCGGGTGCCATGACTCACTCCTGTAATGCCAGCACTTTGGGTGGCCAAGGCGGGTGAATCAAGAGATAGAGACCATCCTGGGCCAACATGGTGAAACCCTGTCTCTACTAAAAATACAGAAATTAGCGGGGCGTGGTGGCTGGCACCTGTAGTCCCAGCTACTCAGGAGGCTGAGGCAGGAGAATCATTTGAACCGAGGAAGCAGAGGTTGCAGTAAGCTGAGATCGCGCCACTGCACTCCAGCCTGGTGACAGAGTGAGACACCGTCACAAAAAAAAAAAAAAAAAAAAAAAAAAGCAGGACACTGAACTCTGGGAGGGCCTCCTGGTGAGAGGTGAGCACAGAGGGGAGAGATGGAGGCAGGAGCATGGGCTTCTGGTGGCCCCAGCAGACCCTGTGGCAGCGTGGCCAGGGTCCTCTGCAGGGAGGAATCTTGGCCAGGATGACGCTGTAGCAGGCCTCTTCCTGAGGCCTCCAGCCAGCCCGGCCAGGGTCCCAGCGTCCAGTGACCCCTGTTTCACAGCAGCAGCTGGGGCCAGCCCCAGGCTCTCTTCCACTCCCAGCTTCTTAAAACTGGAAGTGGAGAGAGTTGTTTGATAAAACACTGGGGCAAACCACATCCTCTCTTCACCAAGGGAGAGTTCGAGGGGATGCCGGCAGAGGGAGCTTTAGAGTAGAGACCCCTACCCAACCAGTGACCGTCACGCACACAGCAGGGCATGCTATGGAGACCCCCAGACAGTCACTCGGGGAGACCCAGCAGGTCCAGACTCTTCAGAGATCTGTGGCAGCAGGTCCCCACTCCCAAAAGCCACGTGCCCACGGGTGGTCTCTGGTGCCTGAGACCCCAGTCTCATTTGCATCTTTGCAACTTCGAGTTTAAGTGGGTGTCGCATCTCTGTATGTCCTCCCGAGCAGAGGAGGGGCACAGCCTGGGGTGGCAGCTGACGTCAAACCCTCAAATCCCCTGAGAGCCACTGGGGAGACTAAGCAGTCCCCAGCCCCCACTTGTCCCTGAGCTGCCATTCTCAGCCCTGTGGGAGGAGACAGAAAGCCCTGAAGAGAAACCAAAGGACCAGGTCAGGAGGGGCTGGGGGGGTGGCATGAGCAATCAGGGCAGGGAAGGATGGACAGATGGGGGAATGGAGGGAAGAAGGAATGAATGAAAAGGTGAATGAATGAACAAAGAGAGAGAACGGCCACTCCTCCCTTGCTTTAGTTTACAAAGTACTGGGATCCTCCCAACAGCCTGCAAGACAGAATTTCTGGGAAGCAGACCAGGTGGCTGGCAGGGAGGGGAGGCTTGCCCTGGCTTTTGTGGGCCCAATGGGAGGCAGGGGGCAAGAAGGGGCATCCTGTGTGTGTCCTCCCTGCAGCGGCAGCAGCACCTTCCTGGAAGAGGGTCAGGAAACACCCGCTGTGGCCCCTCTCCACCACGCCCTCATCCAGGACACCAAGTATCAGTCACTCAGCTCACGAGACCCAGGCCCTGACTCAGGGAGAGAGGATGTGAGGGGTGGGGCACCGGGCTCCTCAGGACTGAGAGACCTGAGATGTGGCCCCGGGCTGGGTGTAGGGGCAGACTGGCTATGGCAGCATTGTGTGTACCCCAGCAGGCCAGTACCCACGCAGGGAGCCTCCAAACCCCTTCACCCATGACCCTGGGAGAAGACCGCAGCCTTGGAGAATTGGCCTCACTGAAGGGGCCTGCACCGGCCAGCAGGGTCAGGCGGGGCCAGACAGGTTCCCACCTGGGATATGCAAATGGGCCTCCTGAATCCTGGAGCCAGGTATGGACTCACACACCACCATTGTCCCCAAGTCCCCATCTGCCCCACGGGCACACCCTGCCGCCTGTTCTGTGCAAGGGCCCTGAGGCTGTCTCCTTGCGCTCAAGCCCTGCAGGTGCTGAAGCCCACACACACGGCTCCTGCTTCCTGGGCCAGTGCACGTGCACACACACACACGTGCACACACACACACACCCACAAATATACCCACACACAATCACACACATTCACACATACCCACCCCCCATACTCACACTCACACATTTACACACACCCACACACCCACACTCACACACTCACAGTCACACACACCCTCACACAGCGAAACACAATCACACACATTCACACCCACCCACACCCCCACACACTCACACTCACATATACTCACACACACCCACACACACATACACAAACACAATCACACACATTCACACACACCCACACTCACACATACACACACCCAAACACGATCACACACATTCACACACACCCACACCCCACAAACACACTCACACATATACCCACACACACTCACACATAATCTCTCACACACACACATGCTCACACACACACGCCTTCTCCAGGAGGGGCTGGCTGCCAAAGGCCACCCAGCTTCCTCCCACGTCTCACTCACCGTACAATATTTGAGAAGACCTTGGAGTCAGCAGCAACAGCGGTGTGGGCAAAGGCCGGGGGTCAAATGGGGCCTGGTGTCGAGAGAGGACCACAGCCAGCACAATGACAGCCAGCGCCAGCCCCAGCCCCAGCCCCAGCAGGACCAGGTCACCCATGGCTCCGTAGTCCTGGGCCATGGCTCTGCGGCCCAGAAGGAGAGGGGAGGCCGGTGGGCAGATGGAGGGACAGATGGGTGGGCAGATGAATGGACAAGAAGATGCATAGATAGACTCACAGGTAATTGGACAGATGGACAAACAGGTGGGGGCTGAAGACAGACACGAAGATGGATCGACAGACAGGCCAGATAGCTAGACAAAGAGGACAGTAAGAGAAAGATGGTCAGATAGACAATGGGACAGAGATGGGCTTACAGATGGGCGGACAGACAGACAGGTCTGAACAGCGGGCTGCCAGATGGACAGATGGGTGAATGGACAGATGGCTGGCAGCTGTGGCGAGCTGCTGCCCTCACCAAGTGCACACTACGGAGTGGCCAAACTCATGCCTCAACTTCTAGTTTTCAGCTCCTGCTTGTTCCTGGCAGGAGGCCAGGCAGCAAAGCGTCTGAGGGGAGTTTTCTTTGCCTAGAGAAGTCAGCTGCTGTGTTAACTCCCTCACTGCTGGTAGGTCCAAAGGCCCGACCTACCGCCCACCAGAGCCCATGGTCACACTGTCGCAATGTGCAGGAGAACTTGGTGCGTGCTGCACTGCGGTTGCCAGGTAGGGGCAGGGCTCCCTGGAACCTCCACACCATTCCCCAGGTTCTCAGCAGCTCTGGGAAAGCAGAGCTGGGGCCGCTTAACTCTGCCCTGGATCCGGCAAGGCTGCCCCCCTCCCAGAGTGGAGCCCTGCTCCCCAGCTCCCATCTCTATCCCCTAACCCTCTCCGCATGGCCCAGCCTAGTCAGCATCAAGGTGGAGCTGAACAGAGGCAGAAGGAGGAGGACCCAAGGTGGTGTCACTCAGGACCCGGGTTCAAGTCCTTATGCTTCTGCAGCCTGGCCTGGGTCCCCCAACTCCCCCAGGGTGACCAAGGGCTTCCCAGTCTGCACAGAGGACAGGGGGTCTTGACAGCATCAAATGCTAGTGACTACGAGACACTTACGTGGGAAATGCAGACAGACCATGCCTCTAGCCCTTGGCACCAGGCACCATCCATCCCTGGGACTTGCTGTCCTGGAAATGCAGCATGGTCCTCCAGGGAGGGGGGCTGTGCCATGTGGGGGCCCCACCCCACCTGCAGCTCTTTCCCACCCTGGCTGCAGGTCTGCTTCCCTGAATCCAAATCCGCTACTACTGTGCTGGCAGCGCAGCCTCTCTGGGGACACTGGCCTGGCTCTGTTCTCCCCAGGCCTCAGGGTGCCTAAATGGGAGGCAACCAGGGGAGTGAGGACCCACTGAGGGGCTCCGTTGACCAGGCTCAGCAGGGGTGCAGGTGATGTGGGGTGGAATCCTTCCCACATGGCCCCCACAGTCCTCCCCGCTTCCTCCCCAACTGAACACTGCCTGCTCCAGATGTCTACACCTGGAGTCTGGGCCCCTCCATCTGGGCAGCAGAGAAACTGAGGCACAGAGACAGACTGTGTCCTTACAGGGCACACAGCCTGCCAGGCCCCTATGTCCGGCCAGAGCCCCTGGCCAGCCTGGGCTGCAGTGATTGTTTAGAGGTAGGCTGTTCCCACGGCTGCCTCTCACGGTAGGGGGGCCTGCGGACGCCTCCTCCCGCCCCCACCCGACTCCCAAGCCTCAGTGACATTGCTCAACCAGGAGCTGAAGTGCATTCCTGGGCTCAGGCCAGCCCACCCACCGACCCGCTGCAGTCCTGGAAGCCCAGAGGCCTGGGCAGCAGGAACAGTGGAGACAGCAGTGTGGGGGACGTCCCCCTCCTCTCCCCACCATCCTCGTCAGGCAGAGGCCAGGGTGCAGGGACCGCCCGAGCAAAGGCCCAGGGAAATGAATGGGTGTCATTCTGGTCCTGACCCGAGGCACAGCCAGGAAGGTCCCTGTGGGGAAAAGAAAGAGATATCAGACTGTTACTGTGTCTATGTAGAAAGAAGTAGACGTAAGAGGCTCCATTTTGTTGTGTAGTAAGAAAAATTCTTTTGCCTTGAGATGCCGTTAATCTGTAACCCTAGCCCCAACCCTGTGCTCACAGAAACATGTACTGTGTCGACTCAAGGTTTAATGGATTCAGGGCTGTGCAGGATGTGCTTTGTTAAACAAATGCTTGAAGGCAGCATGCTTGTTAAGAGTCATCACCACTCCCTAATCTCAAGTAAGCAGGGACACAAAACACTGCAGAAGGCCGCAGGGACCTCTGCCTAGGAAAGCCAG
Organism: Homo sapiens; assembly: GCF_000001405.40. Classification (NCBI taxonomy): domain Eukaryota; kingdom Metazoa; phylum Chordata; class Mammalia; order Primates; family Hominidae; genus Homo; species Homo sapiens. Next base: position 18,348,137 of record NC_000022.11, on the reverse strand, counting down.
GTATTGTCCAAGGTTTCTCCCCAGGTGACAGTCTGAAATATGGCCTCGTGGGAAGGGAAAGACCTGACCGTCCCCCAGCCCGACACCTGTAAAGGGTCTGTGCTGAGGAGGATTAGTAAAAGAGGAAGGCCTCTTTGCAGTTGAGATAAGAGGAAGGCATCTCTCTCCTGATCGTCCCTGGGCAAAGGAATGTCTCAGTGTTGATTGTATATTCCATCTGCTGAGATAGGAGAAAACTGCCTTAGGGCTGGAGGTGGGACATGCTGGTGGCAATACTGCTCTTTAATGCATTGAGATGTTTATGTATATGCACATCAAAGCACAGCACCTTTTTCTTAACCTTGTTTATGACACAGAGACATTTGTTCACGTGTTTTCCTGCTGACCCTCTCCCCACTATTACCCTATTGTCCTGCCACATCCCCCTCTCTGAGATGGTAGAGATAATGATCAATAAATACTAGGGAACTCAGAGACTGGTGCCAGCGTGGGGCCTCCGTATGCTGAGTGCAGGTCCCCTGGGCCCACTTTTCTTTCTCTATACTTTGTCTCTGTGTCTCTTTCTTTTCTCAGTCTCTTGTCCCAGCTGATGAGAAACACCCACAGGTGGGGAGGGGCAGGCCACCCCTTCAGGTCCCTGAATGTCCTTCCTCAGGAAATGATGGGGGAAGGGGCGATGAGAATGAAGGAGACGATTTAAGTCCCTCACCCCCCGAGGTAGTCCTGGGCTGAGCCCCATGGGACCTAGAGAACCAGGGTGTACCCCACCAGCATTTCGGGTCCAGGAAGCCTCGTGGCCAGCTCCCACTTCTCTTCCTGCTGTGCAACCCAGAGCAAGGCCTGCCCCTCCAGCTTCAGTCTTCTCCCCTGCAAATGGGGCCACGGCCTTTCCTCTCAGGCCAATATAAGGATTGAGGCCGGGTGCAGTGGCTACCCCTGTAATCCTAGCACTTTGGGAGACTGAGATGGGGGGACTGCTTGAAGTCAGGAGTTAAGACCAGCCTGGTCAACATAGTGAGACCCCATCTCTATTGGTTTAAATTTTTTTTAAAAAAATTAAATAAATAAAATAAGGATTGAAGAGTGACTTGTACACCAGTTGAGCCCACCTCCATCTCACCCTTGCAGAGCCCCAGAGACACAGCCCTCCAGAGCTCAGACCCAGTGGGACTTGACTCCACAGGCATAAAACCCTGTTTGTCTATGGGCCCTTTGGAATCACCAGGTTTTCGGGGCTCCTGAAGGATAGCCCCGACCTGGCCTCACCTGGCCCCTGGCCCCAGTGCCCCTGGTGATATCCAGGTGCTGGGCTGTGATCACCGCCTCCCACCAGCCCACCTCCACCAGCCCTTCCCAGAACCCTGCTCCAGGTGTTGGAACTGTGCACAGAGGAGGGAGCAGGCCCCGAGGGAGGCCTGGAGGGGCTGCCGATGGTGAAGGCTGCTGTGTCGAGCTGTTTCCTTCCGGACCCACTCCCTCTGGGCTGCGTCCCCGGCTGGTCCAAGCCCTGATCCCTGGGATCTGGGGACATCTTCCCGTTTGCTGTTCCCTGAGAACCAGGCCTCCCTCTGGAGAGGATCACAAGCTTGGGTTTCACTCTGGGCTTGCTCTTGGGAACCCCCCAGGGGCATGGCTCTGACCGAGATGTTTTCCTCCAGCCTGTTGCCCAGTCCCCATTCCTCGGACCCTCAGCTTCACCTCCAGTGTCATCGGCAGGGTGAGCTGGACGCCTACGGGTCTGAGAAGGCGCCCGGGTTCCCAGCATCGGCTGGCCACCCTCTGCCTAAGAAAGCGCCAGGGTCGTGACACCCCCTGGTGGCTGATCCTAGGTAGTGTCACTGCCCAGCCCCAGTAAGGGAGGGCCTGGCCCCAAAGTCTGAGGGATCAGGGTGGGAAGGGGCAGGGTTTGGTGTGAACCTTCCCCTGGCCCCCAGCCATGTGCCTGGCTCTCCCCATGCTGAAGATGCTGAGGCTAGTTCCAGTGTCCGCATTGTGAAGATCTCCGAATCCCACCTCTCTGTTCCTCCCCAGCCAGATGGCTCCATTTCACACACAAAACACTGAGGCCCAGAGAGTGGGGAGACAGGCCAGGGAGGCCACCTGGAGCCTGGCACAGTGGCCTCATTTATTATGCTGCTCTGCTGCTCACAGGGGAAGCCCGTCCCCCAAAGTCCTCTTCCTCATCCTGGTGAGTATCTTGTCCCTGGATTGCTTGTCAGCCTTGTCTGCCTGGAGCACTCAGTAGCCAGCAGGTTCCCCGCCTTTCCTGGAGTCCGAGGCAGCTGCCCAGCCACCAGCCGTGCGGACGATGGCTTGCACCACAGCGATGAAGGTGGACGCGATCTGGGTGTGATGGTGCCGGGTCTCCAGGGCTGCAGTCACTGCCTGGGGGTGGGAGGAGAGGGGAAGCCTGAGCAGGGCTCCAGATGCCACCTGAACCACACCTGTGTGGTCACAGGCCTCAGCCCAGGTGGTGCCATTTCAGGCCAGGTCATCAGGAAGAGCAGGTTGGGGCCTGCTGGGTCTCACTGGAGCAGGGGGCTTGGCCCTCATGTCACAGGGGCTCCAGATGGCCCAGGCACTAGAGAGAGGACACCAACCATTGTCCACTCTGTGATGATCCAGGCCTCCAGCCCAGGATGCCCTGGGACCCCACACCGTGACTCAGTTTCTCCAACCCCCGGCCCACCTGGTCAATGTTTCTCTCCACTGTCGTGACGTTGGGCAGAAGCTTGTTGTGCAGCCGGGGCTCCTCCACGGCCCTCTTCACGTCATAGCCGAACCAGAGGTTGTAGATGATGGCCTGGGGCATGGGAGTGTGATCAGCGTGGCTTGGGGGCTGTGCAGAGTGGGCAGGGCCAGGGAGAAAAGGGGTGACACATACCAGTGCAGTGTCTGTGGTGATCTGCGTGCCCCCAGCAGCTCCCACCACCATCCGGACCTGGCCGTCCTGGCCCACCATGATCGTCGGGCACATGGACAAGAGCGGCTGCTTCCCTGCGGCCGATGGGAGAAGACAGGGATGCCCGTCAGCTGCCTGCCCAGGACACCCGCCCCTCTCCACCCCAGTCCCCCACCCCCCGGACCTCCACCCCATACCTGGCTGGATGAAATTGGCAGGTGAGGGGGGTGCCCCAAACTCATTGGTGATGCTGGGAGAGCTGAAGTCGTCCATTCATTATTGAACAGGATCCCACTGACCGGGGAGCAGACCTTGGAGCCAAAGCTACCGCCCAGCCAGGTCAGACAGCACCCGACCTTGCCTGGCCCAGCCTGGTCCCTATCCACCCACTGAGGCTCAAACATACTCACTGAGAGGCCCAGGATAAGCTACCAAGGTTGGGCCTCAGTTTCCCACCAGGAAAAGAGGTGATGGAGCCACCTTACTGGATAAGTGGGCAGTCCCTGGGCCACCCGCCCCTGGCCCTTTCCCACCCAGGCGGCCCAGCAGCCCCTACTAGAGGTTGATGGTGCTGGTGGCGGACACAGCACTGCCGTCCTCTGCGACGACAGACAGGTGAGCAGTGCCCCCGTCATCCGGCGTGTAGAACTCGGGCTTGTCGTAGGAGATCGGGTGAGTGGTGTGGTCAGAGATCTGGGACCGGAGCTGGGCAGCGAAGAACTCAGAGGTCATGTTGCGGACCACCTGCTGAGACCCCAGAGCTGGCCTGAGGAGGTGGGGAGGGGGCACAGGTCTCAGAAGGCCCTTGACTGTGACTCTGACCGCAACCCTCTGGCACCCACAACCTTCCGTGGCTCCCCAGGACCCAAGGGCAGGCCCAGGACCTTGCATGACCAGTCTGACTCCCTGTCTCTGTCGCGTTCCAGCAACTCTGAATGTCTGTCTGCCTGGTCCTCAGCCTCCAGACCCTTGCCGCATTCAATCACTCATTCTTTCATGCAAAAAATATTTCTAGAATTTGCACTGCATGCCTGGCACTGGGGAATCAACAGGGAACAGACACTTAAGTCCTGCCCTCATGCCAAGAAAAACAAACACACACAGGGAAAGTGCTGAAACCACAGGCCAGGTAAGGGGAATCAAGAGGCATGAGGTATGGGCAGAGTGGTCAGGGAGGGCTTCTCAGAGGAGGCAACGTGTGAAAAGAGCCTGGAATGTTGCCTAAATGGTCAGTGCAAAGGCCCTGAGGCAGGTGGTATAGGCTGGTGAGCGATAGGCAGAGAGTGAATGGAGTGGGGTGGGGAGAAGAGGATGAAGATGCAGGCTGGGGCCCATCCCACAGGACCTCCTAGGTCCCATAACAACTGGCTTTTGCTCTGTGCCATGCAGGCTTAGGGCAGAAGAATGAGGAGGCTGGGGAGTGTTTTCACAGGGTCCCTCTGGCAGCTATGACGGGGATAAGGATAAAGCCCAAAGGGGAGGCTGTGGGTATCAACCAGGCAAGAGATGATGGCCTGGGTGGGAGAAAGAGAAGAATCAAGCATGGTGCCGACTAGCGAGGCCGGCAGAAGGGGCCGGTTTGGGGATGGTCAGGAGCTTGATTTTGGATACTTCATCAGACCCAAAGAGCATGGGTGCACGTATAAAAAAAATAAATAAATAAGCATGGGTTCACGGGCAAGGGCGGGCTGAGAGATGAACATGGAGGTATTGACATTGAGTGGCTGCTGGATGCCATGAGCCTGGCCAAGGTCCCCAAGGCAGTGGCGAGGAGGAGATGAGGAGGTCAAAGAGGAGACAGAGAGGATGGACCCGAAGGCCGAAGAAAATGCCTCAAGAGAGTTTCAACACCGGGCGCGGTGGCTCACGCTTGTAATCCCAGCACTTTGGGAGGCCGAGGCCTGTAATCCCAGCACTTTGGGAGGGCGGATCATGACGTCAGGAGATCGAGACCATCCTGGCTAACACAGTGAAACCCCGTCTCTACTAAAAATACAAAAAATTAGCTGGGCGCGGTGGTGGGCACCTGTAGTCCCAGCTACTTGGGGGGCTGAGGCAGGAGAATGGCGTGAACCTGGGAGGCGGAGCTTGCAGTGAGCCGAGATCCCGCCACTGCACTCCAGCCTGGGGGACAGCCTGGGGGACAGAGCGAGACTCCGTCTCAAAAATAAAATAAAATAAAATAAAATAAAATAAAATAAAGTTTCAGCAACACCCCACGGATTAGCTGACCAATCCCAGGGAAAGGTGTTCTGTCTGAATCTGCCCTCAAGGAAACAGAAAGGCAAATCCACGATGTGGGACATTTTCCAAGACTACTGCCCTGGGCTTTAAAAATCAACAAAACAGGCCAGGCACGGTGGCTCATGCCTGTAATCCCAGCACTTTGGGAGGCCGAGGCAGGCGGATCACGAGGTCAGGAGATCGCGATCACGGTGAAACCCCGTCTCTACTAAAAATACAAAAAATTAGCTGGGCGCAGTGTCGGGCGCCTGTAGTCCCAGCTACTCGGGAGGCTGAGGCAGGAGAATGGCGTGAACCCAGGAGGCGGAGCTTGCAGTGAGCCGAGATAGCGCCACTGCACTCCAGCCTGGGCAACAGAGCGAGACTCCGTCTCAAAGAAAAAACACACCTGTAATCCCAGCGCTTTGGGAGGCTGAGGTGGGAAGACAGTTTGATCCCAGGAGTTTGAGACCAGTCTGGGCAAGACCCTGTCTCTAAAAAAAATACAAAAATTATCCAGGTTTGGTGGCACGTGCCTCTGGTCCCAGCTGCTCAGGGGGCTGAAGTGGGAGGATTGCTTGAGCCCTGGAGGTTGAGGCTGCAGTGAGCCAAGATCACACCACTGCACTCCAACCTGGATGACAGAGACTCTGTGTACAAACAAAAACACAACAAAAACAAAACAGCCAAGGGAGCCTACTGTAGGTAAAGAGAAGGGACAGCAGGTTGTGTCACCCCGACATCCTGCTGTGCTATGTTCAAGTCTCACTTTTGAGACACACCCTGAGGTGCGACATCAGTAACCTACTGTGGAATCCCTCAGAAAAACACGAATCCCAATAGATGTGGGTGGAGACGGAGAGAGTTAGGAAATCCGGCAGAAATGTCCACACTGCAGAATCCAGGAAAAGGGAACATTGATGCTTGGGCAGTTTTGGGTTTTTTTTACATTTTTGTAGGTGCGAAAATTTGCAAAATGAAAACTCGAGGAGAGTGTGGTGAGCTGTGTGAGATGCTGCTGAGTGGGGCCTGATGGGGAAACTGAGGCTGGACATGGCGATCTGGTGGCATGGGGATAGAGCAGGGGAGGGGATACCCTGAAGGGAGAGAGGACATAGCCCAGCCATGTTTGCTCTAAGAGGAGCAAAGGACAGAAGGAGGCAGCAGATAGAAGTCTCTAGAGCAATAACAGCTGCCTTTTTTTTGGGAATAATCCGTGATAAAGAAATAAATCATCAGAGGCAGACAGGAGCATTGTAGGAACAGCACCCCGAGCCAGCGAGTAGATGAAGGACCTGGCCTTAGCCAAAAAGGAGGGCAGAGGGACACGCTGCAGTGGCTCTGTCCCCTTAGAGAGACAAGACACCAGGTCACTGGCTGCAGCGGGAGTCAGAGGTGCAGAATGCTCACAGGGAAAGAGAAGACACCACCCGGGCAGCTGACGCCCCTCCTGGGAGGTCACTGGTCAGTGTGGGGGGGTCTGCAGATCCGCCCAGGAATGCCAAGGACCCAAGTAGGTAAGGAGGGATGTGAGGATCCTCAGCGGGAAGGGATATGACAGGGTCTTATAGGGACCCAGCATGGAGCTGGGGCAACTACTGGGTGAGTGGGTCAGGTGGTGCAGGGCTGAGGGTGGCATCTGGGAAGCGTTAGTTTGGAGTGACAGGGAGTGGGTGGCCGAGGTCTCTGTTCACCTGGCCCTCTCCCTTTCACCCATCCATCTCACCATGCCCGAGGGCTGCAATGCCCCCATGCATTCCTCATCTCAGCACTGAGCACTCAAGAACCACAGCATGTGCAAAGGACCTGAGGTAGGAGGGTGGCCACTAATTCCCCACACTGTCAGTTCTGTGGGGCAGAAGCCAAGACTGGGGGTCACCCACGAGTCCATCCGAGCACACAGTAGGCCCGCAATCAAATTCTGTGGCAGGAATGGATTCATAAAGCATATGTGAGGCTGTAGCCACCCTGGGGAGCCCACCTGATGCCTCTACGGCAGGCCCCACACCCACAGTGAGCCAGCCCCTGCCCCTTACCTCAGTCACATCCACAAACTTGGGGTCCCCAAGCAGGGTCCTCTTGGCGTAGGCAAACCGGAAAGCCTCTACGATGCGGTGGTACGTCAGGCCCTTCTGCTCGGGGGTCTCCACGCTCTCCCGGGAGAAGTTGTACCCTGGTTGATCAGAGCCAGGTGCATGTTGCTGAGCCCCAGAGGCTCTGAGGGGCTCAGAGGGTTAACACCTGCCTGAGCCACTTTGCCCACCTCAAGGAGCGTTTAATAACCAATAGCAGCAGCTGCTTCAGAAGGCTGTGGTGAGAGTGAAGTAAGGTGAGGGCTCCTGAGCCTGGACCTCACGTCACGCATCAGCTCTGGCCATTCAATGACCAAGTGGCAGGGTCACCCACTGGACCGGGGTACCCTCTGGACCGGCCCTGCAGCCCTGAGCTCCTGCACCTCTCTCCCTCCTGATGACTCCTGTTCCTCCTCCAACCCTTGAGCATTGCCCGCTTCAGCCCTGTTGCTCTGCACTGCCTCCTTCAGGACATGGTGAGCTGTGACGCAGGGACACACCTCAGGAGCTCAGTGATGGAAAGACGTGGCATGGGGGGCGAGCAGAGATGCAGGAGGGGTGGGGCGTGGGGAGAGAGAGGCAGTGTCATGGGTCCTACCACACGGCTGTGGTGCGACCACTCACCTTTGAGGATGTTGAGGATGAGGGCCAGCACGGGCCCGCTGAGCCGCGCACTGGGCATGTACAGCACCGCGTCTCCCAGGCTGATGTTCAGCGGGTGCTCGATCAGCTCAGCACGGTAGTTGTTCAGGTCCTCAGCTGTCACAATGCCCCCTGCAATGGGACAGCAGCTCGAATGGGCGCTGGGATGGGGCTGCACCACTGCGTGGAGGATGGAGCTGCACCAGTGGTGTTGGGGGCAGGCATGGCTGCACCATGGTGGTGGGGAAAAGCCTGTACCTACCAGGGAGGACAGAGTGCACTACTGGAGGGGTGGGACTGTGCCCTGGGAGGGGGCCACAGGCAACCTCACCTCCTTGGGAACCTCACCAGCTCCGGCACTCCTGTCTCCCTGACACTGCTCACCACCCGACAGCTGGGCTGGGGCCACCTGCCCTCTGCCTGCTTGGCTTACTGGCTTCCTGTCTGCCTTCTCTCATCTGTGGCCAGAGAGTGTTTTCTTTTTTCTTTTTTTTTTTTAGAGATACGATCTTGCTCTGTTACCCAGGCTGGAGTGCAGTGGCTTAATCACAGCCTTGAACCCCTGGGCTCAAGTGATCCTCCAGCAGACCCTCCCCAGTAGCTGAGACTAAAGGCACAACTACACCCAGCAAATTTTAATTTTTTTGTTGTGTTTTGCTATATTTCTTTCTTTCTTTTTTTTTTTTTTTTGTGAGACGGAGTCTCGCTCTATCGCCCAGGCTGGAGTGCAGTGGCGCGATATCGGCTCACTGCAAGCTCCGCCTCCCAGGTTCACGCCATTCTCCTGCCTCAGCCTCCCAAGTAGCTGGGACTGCAGGCACCCGCCACCACATGTGGCTAATTTTTCTGTATTTTTAGTAGAGACAGGTTTCACTGTGTTAGCCAGGATGGTCTCGATCTCCTGACCCCGTGATCCACATGCCTCGGCCTCTCAAAGTGCTGAGATTACAGGCGTGAGGCACCATGCCCGGCTGGGTTTTGCTATATTTCTTTTCACTATGCTTTGAATTTTTTGTTTTCTTGTTCCCCACCCCCACCCCCACTATATTTATGTAGATTCTCAATATTTTTTTTGTAGACTCACTATGTTGCCCAGGCTTGTCTTGGACCTCCTGACCTCAACTTCTACCTCAGGCTCCCAAAGTGTTGGGATTACAGGCATGAGACAC
>NC_000022.11:16310402-16313516 GCF_000001405.40 Homo sapiens | reverse complement strand
GGAATCATCATCAAACGGAATCGAATGGAATGATCGAATGGAATCAAAGGCAATCATCATCAACTGGAATCAAATGGAATCATTGAATGGAATCAAATGGAATCAATGTCAAGTGGAATTGAGTGGAATCATCGAAATAAATCAAATGGAATAATTGTCGAATGGAATGGAATGCAATCAAAGAATGGAATTGAATAGAATCACCAATGAATTGAATTGAAAGGAATCATCATCGAATGGAATTGAAGAGAATCATTGAATGGACTCGAATAGTATCATTATTGAATGGAATTGTGTGGACTCATGTAATGGGCACGAATAGAATCATCATCGAATATAATCGAACGGAATCTTCTAATGTACTCGAATGGAATCATCATTGAATGGAATAGAATGGAATCATCGAATGGAATTGAACGGAATCATCATCGTATGGAATCGAGTGGAATCATCAAATGGACTCGAATGTAATCATTGGAGAATGGAGTCAAATGGAATCATCAAATGGACTCGAATGGAATCATCATCGAATGGAATCAAATGGAATCATTGAATGGACTCGAATGGAACCATCACCGAATATAATCAAAAGTAATCATCAAATGGATTCGAATAGAATCATAGAATGGACTCGAATGGATAAATCATCGAATAGAATCAAATGGAATCATCAAATGGACTCGAATGAAATCATCATTGAACGGAATCAAATGGAATCATCGAATGGAATGTAATGGAATCATCATCGAATGGAATCAAATGGAATCACTGAATGGAATCAAATAGGATCATCGAATGGAATTGAATGGAATCATCATTGAATGGAATCGAATGTAATCACTTTATGGACTCGAATGCAATCATCATTAAATGGAATTGAAAGGAATCATCTAATTGACTTGAAAGGAATCATCATTGAATAAAATCGAATGGAATCACCGAATGGAGATGAAAGGAATCATCATCGAATAGAATCAAATGGAATCATGGAATGGACTCAAAAGGAATATCGTCGAATGGAATCAAAAGCCATCATCGAATGGACTGAAATGGAATTATCGGATGGACTCGAATGGAATCACCGAATGGACTTGAATGGAATCATCATCAAATGGACTTGAATAGAATCATCATCGAATGGACTCAAATGGAATGATTGAATGGACTTGAATGGAATCATGGATTGGACTCAAATGGAATCATTATGGAATGGAATGAAATGGAATAATCAGATGGAATTGAATGGAATCATCTAATGTAATCGATTGGAATCTTCATCGAGTGGAATAAGATGGAATCATCATATGGAATCGAATGCAGTCATCATCGAATGGACTCAAATAGTATCATCATTGAATGGAATTGAATGGAATCATCAAATGGATTTGAATGGAATCATCACCGAATGGAATCGAATGGAATCATAGAATTGAATAAAATGGGATCATCATCGAATGGAATCAAATAGAATCATTGAATGAAATCGAATGTAATCATCATCAAGTGGAATCTAAAGGAATCATCGAATTGAATAGAATGGAATCATCGAATGGAATCGAATAGAATCATTGAAATCGAATGGAATCATCATCGAGTGGAGTCGAATGGAATCATCAATTAATGGAATCGAATGGAATCATAGAATGGAATCCAATGTAATCATCATCGAATTGAATCCAAAAAAATCATGAAATGGACGCGAATGGAATCATCGAATGGACTCGAATGGAATCATCATCGAATGGAATCGAATGGAATCATCGAATGGACTCAAATGGAATCATCATCGAATGGAATTGAAAGGAATCATCGAATGGACTTGAATGGAATCATTGAATGGACTCGAAAGGAATCATCATTGAAGGCAATCAAATAGAATCATTGAATGACATCGAATGGAATCATCATCAAATGGAAACGAATGGAATCATCGAATGGACTCGAATGGAAACACCATTGAATGGAATCGAATGGAATCATCTTTGAATGAAATCAAATGGAATCATCAAATGGACTCGAATGCAATCATCATCGAATGGAATCGAATGCAAGCATTGAATGGATTCGAATGGAATCATCATTGAATGGAATTGAATGGAATCATTGAACGGAATCGAATGGAATCATTGAATGGCATTGAATGGTATCATCATTGAGTGGAATCATCGAATGGAACCGAATGGAATCGTCATCAAATGAAATAGAAGGGAATCATCGAATGGCATCGAAAGGAATCATCATCCAATGGAATCAAATAGAATCATGTAACGGACTTGTTTGGAGTCATCATCGAATAGAATTGAGTGGAATCATCGAATGGACATGAATGGAATCATCATCGAATGGAATCAAATGGAATCATCATCAAATGGAGTCAAATACAATCATCATAGAATGGAATCGAATGGAATCATCGAATGGAATAGAATGGAATCATCATCGAATGGAATCAAATAGAATCATCGAATGAAAACAAATGGAATCAACATCAAATGGAATCGAATGGAATCATCATCAAATGGAATCGAATGGAATCATCAACAAATGGAATCGCATGGAATCATCGAATGGAATCTAATGGAATCATCATCACATGGAACCGAATGGAACCATCATGGAGTGGAATCTAATGGAATAATCATCGAATGGAATCCAATGGGATCACTGAATTGAATGGAGTGATCATCAAATGGAATCAAAGGGAATCATCAAATGGGATCGAAAGGAATCATCAAATGGAATCGAATGGAATCATCAAATGGACTCGAGTGGAATCATCATTGAATGGAATCAAATGGAATCATTGAAAGGATACGAATGGAATCATCATTGAATGGAATCCAATGGAATCATCGAATGGACTAAAATGGAAATATCACCAAATGGAACCATATGGAATCATCGAATGGCATCGAATAGAATCACCAGTGAATGGTATCTAAGGGAATAATCAAATGGACTCGAATGGAATCATCTAATGGACTCGAGTGGAATCATCATCAAATGGAATCGTATGGAATCATCGAATGGACTCAAATGGAATCATCATCGAATGGAATCGAATGGAATCATCGAATGGACTCGAATGGAATCATCATCAAATGGAATCTAATG
>NC_000022.11:16307605-16310302 GCF_000001405.40 Homo sapiens | reverse complement strand
ATCGAATGGAATCATCATGGAATGGAATAGAATGGAATCATCGAACGGACTCGAATGGAGTCATGATCGAATGGAATCAAATTGAATTTTTGAATCGACTCAATTGAAATCATTGAATGCAAGTGAATGGAATCATCCTCAAATGGAATCGAATAGAATCATCATCGAATGGAATCAAATGTAATCATCATCGAATGGAATCGAATGGGATCATCATCGAATGGAATAGAATGGAATTATCCAATGGAATAGAATGGAATCATCATCGAATGGGATCAAATGGAATCATCGAATGAAATTGAATGGAATCATCATCGAATGGAATAGAATGGAATCATCATTGAATGGAATCGAATGGATTCATCATCTAATGTAATTGAATGGAATCATCATCGAATGGAATCGAATGGAATCATCATCGAATGGAATCGAATGGAATCATCCAATGTAACAGAATTGAATTTTCATCAAATGGAATCAAATATAATCATCGAATGAAATCGAATGGAATAATCATTGAATGGAATCGAACGGAATCATCAACGAAAAGAATCGAATGGAATCATAGAATGGAATCCAATGTAATCATCATCGTGTTGAACTCAATGGAATCATTAAATGGACCCGAATGGAATCATTGAATGGAYTCGAATGCAATCACCATCAAATGGAATAGAATGGAATCATTCAATGGAATTAAATGGAATCATCATCGAATGAAATCAAATGGAATCCTTGAATGGACTCAAATGGAATCATCGTCGAATGGAATCAAATGGAATCATTGACTGGACTCGAATGGAATCATCATCAAATGGACTTAAAAAGAATTATTGAATGGACTCGAATGGAATCTTCATCGAATGGACTCAAATGGAATGATCGAACGGACTCGAATGGAATCATGGATTGGACTCAAAAGGAATAATTGAATGGACTCGAATGGAATCATTATCGAATGGAATCAATTGGAATCATCGAATGGAATCGAATGAAATAATCGAACGTAATTGATCACAATCATCATCGAATTGAATCAAATGTAATCATCGAATGGAATCAAATGCAGTCATCATCCAATGGAATCTAATGGAATCATCATCGAATAGAATTGAAAGGAATCATTGAATGGAATCGAGTGGAATCATCCTCAAATATAATCTAATGGAACCTTCGAATGCAATCAAATGGAATAATCAAATGGAATTGAATGGAATCAGCATCGAACGATACCGAATAGAATCATCATCGAATAGAATCAAATGGAATCATTGAATGGAATCATCATCAAATGGAGTCAAATGGAATCATCAAATGGACTCCAATGGAATCATCATAGAATGGTATTGAATGGAATCATCATGTGAAATCGAATGGATTCATCATTGAATGGGATCGAATGGTACCATGGAATGCACTCAAATGGAATCATCAATGAATGGTATCAAATGGTATCATCGAATGGTATCAACTGGAATCATCTTCAATTGAAATCAAAAGGAATCACCGAATGGACTCGAATGGAATAATCATCAAAAGGAATCAAAAGGAATCATTGAATGGAATCAAATGGAATCATCATCGAATGGAATTGAATGGAATCATCGAATGGACTCGAATGGAATCATCATTGTATGGAATTGAATGGAATCATTGAATGGAATCGAATGAATCATCATCGAATGGCATCAAATGGAATCATCATCGAATGGAATAGAAAAGAATCAACATCAAATGGAGATGAAAAGAATCATCATTGAATGGAATCCAAAGGAATCATCATCGAATGGAACCGAATGGAATCATCATCGAATGGAACCGAAAGGAGTCACCGTCGAATGGAATTGCATGGAATCATCATCGAATGGAATCGAATGGAATCATCATCAAATGGAATCGAATGGAATCATCGAATGGAATTGAATGGAATCATCGAATGGAATTGAATGGAATCATCATGGAATGAATTGAATGGAATCATTGAATGGTCTCGAATGGAATCATTATCAAATGGGATTGAATGGAATCGCTGAATAGAATCGAATGGAATAATCATCGAATGGACTCGAATGGAATTATCATCAAATGGAATAGAATGGAATTATCGAATGGAATCGAATAGAATCATCGAATGGACTCGAATGGAATCATCAAATGGAATGGAATGAAATAATCAATGAACTCGAATGGAATCATCATTGAATGGAATCGAATGGAATCATCAAGTGGAATCAAATGGTATCATGTTCAAATGGAATTGAATGGAATCATCATCGAATGGAATCGAAAAGAATCATCATCAATTGGAATTGAATGGAAACGTCATTAAATGGAATCCAAAGGAATCATCATCGAATGCAACCGAATGGAATCATCATTGAATGGAAACGAAAAGAGTCATCATCGAATGGAATCACATGGAATCATCATTGAATGGAATCAAATGGAATCATCATCAAATGGAATCAAATGGAATCATCGAATGGAATTGAATGGAATCGTCATTGAATGAATTGAATGGAATCATCGAATGGTTTCAAATGGAATCATCTTCAAATGGAATCGAATGGAATCACCAAATAGAATCGAATGGAATTATCATGGAATGGACTCAAATGGAATCAACATCCAACGGAATCAAACGGAATTATCGAATGGAATCGAAGAGAATCATCAAATGGACTAGAATGGAATCAT
>NC_000022.11:16305427-16307048 GCF_000001405.40 Homo sapiens | reverse complement strand
CTTCGAATGGAATCGAATTTAATCATCGAATGGAATGGAATGGAATCATCATCGAATGGAATCGAATAGAATCAGCATCAAATAGAATTGAATGGAATCATCATCAATGGAATCGAATGGAACTTTCTTCAAATGGATTTGAATGGAAACATCAACGAATAGAATCGAATGGGATCATCAAATGAAAATGAATGGAATCATCATCAAAAGGAATCAAAATAAAACAAAGAATGGAATCCAATGGAATCATCGAGTGGAATCAAATGGAATCATCATTCAATTGACTCGAATGGAGTCATCATCAAATGGAATCAAACGGAATCATTTAATGGACTCGAATGGAATCATTGAATGGACTCGAATGGAATCATTGAATGGAATCTAGTGTAATCATCATCGAATGAAATCAAATGGAATCATCGAATGGAATCGAATGGAATCATCATCGAATGGAATTGAATGAAATCATGGAATGCACTTGAATGGAATCATAGAATGGACTCAAATGGAATGAACATTGGAATCGAAACAAAACATCAAATGGAGTTGGATGGAATAATCAAATGGAGTCATCATCAAATGGAATAGAATGGAATCATCGAATGGACCCGAAAGGAATCATCATCGAATATAATCAAATGCAATCATTGAATGGAATCCAATGGAATCATCATTAAGTCTAATCGAATGGAATCATCATCAAATGGAATCAATGGAATCATCATCAAACGGAATTGAATGGAATCATCAATGAATGGAATCGAATGGAGTCATCGAATAGAGTCTGTTAGAATCATCATCGAATAGAACGGAATGCAGTCATCATCTAATGGAATCAAATGGAATCATCGAATGGACTCGATGGAATCATCATTGCATGGAATCAAATGGAATCATCGAATGGACTCAAATAGAATCATCATCAAATGGAATCGAATGGAATCATCAATTGGACACGAATGGAATCACCATCAAATGGAATCGAATGGAATCTTCGAATGGAATTGAATGAAATTATTGAATGCAATTGAATAGAATCATCATTGAATATAATCGAATTGGATCATCATCGAAAGGAATCTAATGAAATCATCATCGAATGGAATCTAGTGGAACCATCATCTAATGGAATCGAATGGTGCAACCGAATGGAATCTGTTAGAATCATCATCAAATGGAAACGAATGCAGTCATCATAGAATGGAATCGAATGGAATCAACGAAGGGACTCGCATTGTGTCATTATTGAATGGAATCGGATGGAATCATCGAATGGACTCGAATGGAATCATCATCGAATGGAATTGAATGGAATCATCAAATGGACTCGAATGGAATCATTGAATGGACACGAATGGAATCATCATCTAATGGAATCGAGTGGAATCCTCGAATGGAATCAAATGGAATCATCAAATGGAATCAAACAGATTTCTAAGAAACTTACTTGATCCAAAAAATAGAAAAACAAACAAACCAAAACCCCCTAAAATTGTGAAGAGCAAAGTAGACATCAGAAGAGGAAATATCACTGGGGATGAAGAATAACATTTCAAAATGACAAAGGGGAAAATACACCAAGAAGTCATGTAAATAAGAAATATGTATGCACACAATAGCA
>NC_000022.11:16302843-16304296 GCF_000001405.40 Homo sapiens | reverse complement strand
AGAAGCACTGGTTAGCCTCAAGAAGCTTGCAGGCAGGCCCAAAAATCAGAAAGACAGGCATGATGTGGGGAGCTCTCAGTTAGCTGGAAACAGGTGAATTTCAGGTGAACACGTTGAGTCCAGGACATAGAAGACAAGTCATCAGCAATATCTGCTGTAGCCAGTTTTCTTTTTCTTTTTAAGAATATATATACTTTTTATTGGGGGTCCCCAAGTCCCCCTTTGGTTTAATGATTCACATAACTCAAGAAAGCTGATTTTCTTTTGTGGTTATAGTTTCTAACAGTGAAAGAAACCAGATTAAAATAATCAGAAGCATAAAAGCATATAAAATTGAGTCCAAGACAAACCAGATGTGAGCTTACAGGTGTCCTTTCATAGTGGGGACTTCACACTGACTAATTTTCTTTACAATGGTGTGAGACAACATGTGTGAACTTGTTGCCAACTAGGGAAGTTCAGTCAGTCTTGAGTCCAGGGTTTTTATTAGGATTCCACCACATATGCATCGAGCGTCCTGTGACTGAACTTAGGTATTTAGTTCCCAACCTCCCTATGCCCTAAGAGAGGTCATATTAATATGGCATTACACAAAGTCATAGGCATACAGAAACAGGTGCTCACAAGAAATCACGTTGTTAGCATAAGCTATGTGATATGATCTACGTTTGCAGGTATACAAAGACTCTCATCAGGCAGCATATACCAAGGGCTCATAGGTTATCATCTCCCAGGAGCTTGTCAAGGGCCAGTCCTGAAGACCTTTGGAACGCGGAAGGTTTTGGAAAGCCATGTCTGCAGAATTAACCCTTCATTACACAACTTCCAAGATTTTTTTTTATCTTTAAAATGTTTTTTGATCTTTGACAATGTACCAACCAATACTGAGTAATTAGTAACAACAGTGTACTCTTGAGTACTTGCACCTGCAAGGAGAAAAAGGACAGATGCACTTACATAGGACAGATGCAAATAGACACCACTATGACAAGTAAAGCTGGAATAATCAATAAATTCCTAAAGACAAAGTGGGGCTGGTGAGATTGGGAGACCGCTGACAGCTGCAGAAGTTGGGAAAGATCCATCATCTTGAAAACTTTTTCCCCACAAACCCACTGTGATCTCTCAAGCAATTGGTAAGGAACTCAAGAGAGTCTGTATATGATACAGATCAGGGAGAGCAGAACACTTGGGAGGTGACCAGGTCTTGGGAGCCGAGCCCTTGTGAATGGGATTAGTGCCCTTATAAAAGAAGCTCAATGGAGTTCCTGTGTGCCTTCCACTATGTGAGGATATAGAAAGAAGGCACTATCTATGAACCATGAAATGGGCTCTCATCAACACTGAATTTGTGAGCATCTTGACCTGAGATCTTACAGCCTCAAGAAGTGTGAAAAAAGAAATATCTGTTGTTTTTAAGTCACCCGGTTTATGTTATTTTGTTATAAGAGTC